>NT_187662.1:0-137721 GCF_000001405.40 Homo sapiens
TGGTGTTTTCCGAGCTTGGCCTAAGGACTCTGTTCTTGAAGCTCTGTCTGTATATTAAGGTATTCTCATCTACATTCACAGCTGCAATCATGTCCTACATGCTGATGACTTCTAATTTTCTATCCTTAGCCAACAGCCCATCTATCCAGCATCCAACCCAGTCTCCCATCTTGCTCACACATCCCTGGCACAGGGACTGTTGGCTGCTGTGTTGGTTGTTGTGTTTGTTTGAGTTCCCCCAAATGCAAACTCTAAGACTAGGAATTGAGTGCAGAGTTTATCTGCGAGAGGGTCTTAGGAAACACGGGTGGAGGAGTGGGCAAGTGAGACAGGGAAGGCAGGACAGTTAATAAAGTTTTCATTATCCTGCCAGCTACCTCTGTGCTCAACCACAGCTCAGTCCTCTGGGAGGACTCTGGGAGGCGGTGCCAAAACATGCCAGTGATCCCAAGTGAGGGGCAACGAAGCTTCTCAGAAGCTGGGTGTCACCCACCACCTCTCAGAAGCTGACCACCACCTCTCAGCAGCTGGGTATCACCCACCACCTCTCAGAAGCTGGGTATCACCCACCACCTCTCAGAAGCTGACCACCACCTCTCAGAAGCTGGGTATCACCCACCACCTCTCAGAAGCGGGGTGTCACCCACCACCTCTCAGAAGCGGGGTGTCACCCACCGCCTCTCAGAAGCTGGGTGTCACCCACCGCCCCTCAGAAGCTGGGTATCACCTCTCAGAAGCTGGGTATTATCCACCACCTCTCAGAAGCTGGGTATTATCCACCACCTCTCAGAAAACGTGGCTTCTAGAGGCACTAACTCTGTAGCACTTCTGGCTTCTTCTGCGTGGGCCAAAAATGCAAGTGGAGAAAAGCCTCAGGCAGAGTCACAGGTGTCTGGAAGAAGCTTTCTGCAGGTAGAGGGGAATGGCGGGGGATGGAGGTGGAGAAGACATTGTCAGCTGCAATTGCCCACCCAACCTTTGCCCCCTTCCTGCAGAGCTCTGATCTTGTTCTGGTCCCTGTGCCCACCTACAGCCGCCCCGTATCTTCACAAGAGAATCCTGATTGGCTGGAGTCATTATGGTCATCCCATTCTCTTTGTCAGTAATATGTTTGAGAAATAACCTGTTACCCACTCCTGGCCAATTAGAGTTCAAGATCATCTACCTGAGGCTCCAGGGAAAGGTTTGCTCCTTCATCAAAGGGAGGAGGAGACACGCTCCTCTTCTGCTGCTGGGCACGGTCGGCCATGGATGTGTTGCCTGGGTCTGTGGCAAACATCTCGCTACAGTGACAGGAGCTAATTGGAAGGCAGAGCCAGTGTCCTGAGGACGGCAGGATCTCTGAGAACCCCAGTCCTTAAGATATACCCAAGCTTGGCACCAACTGAATGTTTAAGAAAGAAAAAAAAAGACACATCCAAGTGAAATTCTTGCATATGGGCACCAGGAGCCATCAAAAATGTTCATATCAGCATAGCTCATAGTAGCAAAAAGCTGGAACCACTCAGTGATATAGTCACACATGGAATATTATACATCAGCAAAAGGATGATCTATGCCCCCACAACACGGATGAACCTTGGAAACAATATTAAATTAAAAAAAGGGGCCAGGCACGGTGGCTCACGCCTGTAATCCTAGCACTTTGGGAGGTCGAGGCAGATGGATTGCCTGAGCTCAGGAGTTCGAGGCCAGCCTGGGCAACATGGTGAAACCCCATTTCTACTAAAATACAAAAACTTAGCCGGGCATGGCAGCGTATGCCTATAATCAGCTGCTCGGGAGGCTGAGGCAGGAGAATTGCTTGAACCCAGGAGGGGGAGGTTGCAGTGAGCGGAGACTGTGCCACTGCACTCCAGGCTGGGTGACAGTGCGAGACTCCATCTCTAAAAAAGAAAAAAAAAGGACGTCTGTTTAACACAAATGTATTTATGATACAACGATATTTTACAGTGCAACAAAAAGTGTAAACTGTAGGGCAGGGACAGTGGTGACCTCTTGGTGGGGGTTGGGGAGTCGGGGAAGGGAGGGGTGCACAGGACGATGAGACGGTTGGTTATGTTTGACTTCTTGGTTTGGATAGCGGGTTCATGCTTGTTTAAGGAAAAGATAAAGAAAGAAAAAAACCTGGATCTTTTTTTCGTTGAGGCCCAGGCTGGAGTGGAGTGGCGCCATGTCGGCTCACTGCAGCCTCCGCCTCCCGGGTTCAAGTGATTCTCCTGCCTCAGCCTCCCAAGTAGTGGAGTGCAATGATTGCACCACTGTACTCCAGCCTGGGTGACAGAGTGAGACCCTGTCTCAAAAAAAAAAAAAAAAAAAAAAAAAAAGAAGGTTACCAATACAATCAGGGGCAATGTCGTTCAAGATTTGGAAATGGGCAAAAGAGAATGCTGGGTGTCCTTTCTGTGGAATGCCAGGTGTTGCCCTCCTAACTCTTGGGGATTATGATTCTATGGGGTGCACCTTGACTTACCTTTCTAATAACTAGGCTATTTTACAACTCCATAGGGATAAAAGCTAAGCTGTAAAAAAACTTACAGTAATGCAAGTGATTCTTACCTACAAGAATACAAATGAATTTTGTCTGGCAAAGATACAATTTTGTCTGGCAAAGATACAATTCTATCCTGGAGAAAAGATAATCTCAAAACATTACATTTTATTGTACTGTAGGATATTATGGGTGTTAACCACTTTGCATTTATTAGCAACTTCATTTCAGCATTTCTCTAATATATTTGGCCTTGAACAACATGGGTTTGAACTGTGTGGGTTCACTTACATGTGGATTTTTTTCAATACATATATTGGAAAATTTTTTGGAGATTTGTAACAATTTGAAAAAACTAGAAGATGAACTGCTTAGCCTGGAAATATTGAAAAAAGGAAGAAAAAGGTAGGTCATGAACGCATAAAATATATGTAGCACTAGTGTATTATTTTAAGAGATAGGGTCTTGCTCTGTTGCCCAGGCTAGAGTGCAATGAAACAATCACTCACTGCAGCCTCCAACTCCTAAGGTCAAGCTGTCCTCCTGCTTCAGCCTCCCAGGTAGCTGGGACTACAGTTGCAGGCCACCACACCTGGCTAATTTTTACATCTTTTATTTTATTTTATTTTTGTAGAGACAGGGTCTCACTATGTTGAGACTCCATCTCAAAAAAAGAAAAAACAAAGGGAAAGAACTCAGCGATATAGTCATATGTGGGATGTCAAATATCAGCAAAAGAATGAACGGTGCCCCCACGACATGGGCACCAGGAGCTGTCAAGAATAGTTCCTATCAAGGAAAATTCTAGAAAATTTTCTCTACAAGAGACAGAGTCTTGCTATGTTTCTCAGGCTGGTCTTGAACACCAGGCCTGAAGCAATCCTCCTGCCTTGGCCTCCCAAAGCACTAGGATTATAGGCATGAACCACTGCACCTAGCCCAATACTAGTTTTTTAAAATCATTTACCACCATAAAATATACATACATCTACTTTAAAAAGTTAAAATGTATCAAAACTTACCCACACATTTACAGACCATGCCTGCAGTCAAGAGAAACATAAACAAATTTAAAGATGCAGTATTAAATATAACTGTATAAAGTTCACTGCAACACATCTTGGACTACTGTGATAATTTAAAGATGCAGTGTTAAATTGTAACTGTATAAAGTTCACTGTAGCCGGGCGTGGTGGCTCATGCTTGTAATCCCAGCACTTTGGGGGGCCAAGGCAGGTGGATCACCTGAGGTCAGGAGTTCCAGACCAGCCTGGCCAATTTGGTGAAACCTGCTCTCTACTAAAAATACAAAAAAAATTGGCTGGGCATGTTGGCAGGCACCTGTAATCCCAGCTACTCGGAAGGCTGAGGCAGGAGAATTGCTTGAACCTGGGAGGCAGAGGTTGCAGTGAGCTGAGGTTGCGCCATTGCACTCCAGCCTGGGCAACAAGAACAAAACTCCATCTCAAAAACAAAAAAAAAAAGATAACTGTAACACGTGCTGCACTACTGTGATAATTTAAAGATGCAGTGTTAAATCATAACTGTATAAAGTTAATTGTAACACATACCGCATTACCGTGATAACTTAAAGATGCAGTGTTAAATCGTAACTGTGTAAAGTTAATTGTAACACATACCGCATTACCGTGATAATTTAAAGACGCAGTGTTAAATCGTAACTGTATAAAGTTAACTGTAACACATACCGCATTACTGTGATAATTTAAAGATGCAGTGTTAAATCGTAACTGTATAAACTTCACTGTAACACATACCACATTACTGTGATAATTTAAAGATGCAGTGTTAAATCATAACTGTATAAACTTCACTGTAACACATACCACATTACTGTGATAATTTAAAGATGCAGTGTTAAATCGTAACTGTATAAAGTTAATTGTAACACATACCGCATTACTGTGGTAATTTAAAGATGCAGTGTTAAATCATAACTGTATAAACTTCACTGTAACACATACCACATTACTGTGATAACTTAAAGATGCAGTGTTAAATCGTAACTGTATAAAGTTAATTGTAACACATACCGCATTACCGTGATAATTTAAAGATGCAGTGTTAAATCGTAACTGTATAAAGTTCACTGTAACACATACCGCATTACCGTGATAATTTAAAGATGCAGTGTTAAATCGTATCTGTATAAAGTTCACTGTAACACATACCGCATTACCGTGATAATTAAAAGACGCAGTGTTAAATCGTAACTGTATAAAGTTCACTGTAACACATACCGCATTGCTGTGATAATTTAAAGATGCAGTGTTAAATCGTAACTGTATAAAGTTCACTGTAACACATACCGCATTACCGTGATAATTTAAAGACGCAGTGTTAAATTGTAACTGTGTAAAGTTCACCGTAATATTGCACTACTGTGATAATTTAAAGATGCAGTGTTAAATTGTAACTGTATAAATTTCACTGTAACACATACTGCCCTACTGTGATAATTTTGTAGCCATCTCCTGTTGTTATTTTAATCAGCCCAAGTGTTGCAAATATCCCCTTAAAATGTCATGTGACAAAGTAAATTATCTAGGCGGTGGCTCATGCCTATAATCCCAGTGCTTTAGGAGCCCGAGGAAGGAGGATCACTTGAGGTTGGGAGTTTGAAACCAGAAATTTTTTCTACAAAAGAAAAATTAAAAAATTACCCAGGCATGGTGGCGCCTGCCTGTAGTCCCAGCTACTCAGGAGGCTGAAGGAGAGGATCAGTTGAGCCCAGGAGTTGGAGGCTGCAGCGAGCCATGACTGTGCCACTGCACTCCAGCCTGGGCGATGGAGCAAGACTCTGTCTCAAAACAAAAACAAAAACAAACATGAACAAACCCGCTAATTATCTCCACATGAGCAGCTTACCTCTCCAGTAAGTTGTGAACAGCAGGAAAAAGTGATCGATTGGAGTTCTCCAGCGTCTTTCACTGTGTTTAGTGCAATGCCCTAAGCCTTATAGCAACACCGTAGGACCCAGATGAACTGCTACGGATGATGCTGGAAGTGCTCCCAAAAAGCAAAGGAAAGTCCTGACATTACAAGAAAAAGCTGGATTGCCTGATATGTACCATAGATTGAGGTCTGCAGCTGCGGCGGCCTGCCGTTTCAGACAGACCATTCATCTTGTAGACAGATGATATAAACTTACAGTAATCAGTGTCAGTACAGCACTGTCAATGTGTTTTCTCTCTGATTTTCTTAATAACATTTTATTTACTTTACTGTATATGATACATATACAAAAAACATGTTCATCGACTGTTTATGCCATTGGTAAGGCTTCTGGTTAATAGTAGGCTATTGTTACTTATGTTTTGGGGGAGTCAGAAGTTACACACGGATTTTTGATGGCACGGGGATTGGCAGCCCTAACCTCCATGTTGGTCAAAGGTCAACTGTGTTTGTGTGGGTGGGTGTATGTTTATGTTTTTTTTTTTTTTTTTTTTTGAGACGGAGTCTCGCTCTTTTGCCCAGGCTGGAGTGCAGTGGCGCGATCTCGGCTCACTGCAAGCTCCGCCTCCCGGGTTCACGCCATTCTCCTGCCTCAGCCTCCCGAGTAGCTGGGACTACAGGTGCCCACCACCACGCCCAGCTAATTTTTTTTTGTATTTTTAGTGGACACGGGGTTTCATCATGTTAGCCAGGATGGTCTCGATCTCCTGACCTCGTGATCCTCCCGTCTCGGCCTCCCAAAGTGCTGGGATTACAGGCTTGAGCCACCGCGCCTGGCCTGTTTATGTTTATATATAAAGACACACATAATACATATTATATACCTATATAAAATGTATAAAAATAATATGTTTATATATACAATAGATGTTTATATGGTATATATATGTTTATAGATACTATATATGTTTGTGTATAATATATACATTTCTTTCCTTCAAATTATTTGAACCAGTTTTAACATCTTATTGGTTTCTTCGTCAAAGTGTTGAATAAAATTTTACATCAAAGGCATGATTTGACCTTTTTGAAAACCATAATTTAGCACAGAAATAAAATGCTTCCCCCTTTACTTTAAAAGAACAACTCTCTATCTTAACATTTTTGTTTTCTTTTTTTTTTGAGGCAGAGTCTCACTCTGTTGCCCAGGCTGGAGTGCAGTGGCGCAGTCTTGGCTCACTGTAACCTCTTCCTCCCAGGTTCAAGCGATTCTCCTGCTTCAGCCTCCTGAGTAGCTGGGACTACAGGCGTGCGCCACCACGCCCAGCTAATTTTTGTATTTTCAGTAGAGACAGGATTTCACCATGTTGGCCAGGCTGGTCTTGAACTCCTGGCCTCAAGTGATCTGCCTGCCTTGGCTTCCCAAAAGTGCTGGGATTACAGGCGAGAGCCACTGTGCCCGGCCTCATTCTATCTTAACTTCGATTTATTTATCTGGAAAATGCTTCTAAGCCTGCAACAGCACAAGGAATGGGCAGCTCTTGGAGCACAGCTGTTTGTCTCCTCAGTCGGACCAAGTTCCTTGAGGTCAGAAAGTATGAGAAAGTACGATGTCTTTATTTCTGCTCTTGCAGACCTGCCCAGCTCTTGGCACAGAGCTGACGTTTTGTGAGTGGCTAAATGAGCAAAGCAAGGGGAATGGAACCGATTCTCGTAACTCTGAAAGAGATTGGGCAAGTATACTCCTGTTGGATAGATGAGGAAACTGATACACAGAGATGTAAGTGAATCGCTCAACCTCACAATGCTAGTCAGTCACCAAATGGGTTGGAACCCATGTTCCTAGTTCCACATATCCTGCAAGAGAGCGGTAGACTTTACAATGATGTAAGTGAATTGCTCAACCTCACAATGCTAGTCAGTCACCAAATGTGGCCAGAACGCATGTTCCCAGTTCCACGAATCCTGCAAGAGAGTGGTAGACTTTACAATGATATTTGTTGACCAACCAGCGAGATGGTGGCATCTTCACTGTTGGTGTCGGCTTCCTTGTTTATACTTTGTCTTTGTGGTTTCAGAGACTATTATTGTTATGAGCTCTTCGAACATTCTCCAGAGTGGAAGTTTCTTTCCCAAGAAGGACCAGGTTTTCCCCTTTGGTTGGCACTGATGTGGGCAAGCCCTGGGCAGGGCTTACGGTTCATGGCTTTCCTGCTGTGTGCTCAGCCTGGGTCCCTCCAGCTGGCCCGGCTGCTGATTCCAGCTTTCCACTCTGTCCTGCCCACACTGTGAGTGTCTTCCCCAAGGCAGACAAGCAGTGTCCACACTTCTGCAGCACCAGCCTTCGATGTGGGCAAGAGGAGTCCCTTCCCTCTGTCCCGTGCTCCATCGGATCCTGCTGTCTCCACTCCAGCTGTATCTCTCCCTGAGAGATGGGAATCACGTGGAATCGAGGGGTCTCACCCACGTAGAGCCTATCCCCCCTCCTTCCTTCTAGCCCACAATCCGAGTACCTGGGACCTCGGAGTTTCTTGCCCAAATAGCCTCAGCCTGCTTGTAGGGCCTATGTGGGCCTCTTTCCTGGGTCTTTCCTCCGGAGCACCCTTAGGCCCAAGGGCAGCATGGATGGAAACTGCACAGGGCAGGCTCAGGCGTCCACACCCAAGTGCTCACGGGACCTTCTCAGTGCTGGAGCTGGAAGTAGGAAGAGGAGGTGCAGGCCTGGGGCAGGCTGCAGAACCCTGAAGAATCTGAAATTCGAAATTTAAATCTGACCTTCCAGGTTGTTACGAAAGTATATTCGTCAAGGTAGGAGAACAGTGCATATTTCACTTAACAGTTTGTCATAACTTTTAATATTTAGACATAAGGTGCGTGGGCCGCTGTGCCTGCTCTTGCCCCAGGCTTTGCAACTGTGAAGAGCAGGTCTGTGCTTCCCTCTTCCTCCTTTGAGAACTCACTCCAACCGCTTCCTGATTTTCACTTCATACCTTAAAAAAAAAAAGGAAAAGAAAAACTCTACAACTAGTTAAGCAAATTGTACTACCTCCATATGGTGGACTACTTGGCTGCCTCTAAAAAAGAACGAGGCAGCTCATTTTAGGCTGATGTGGAACAAAGGCCAAGACTGTTCATGGAGAGGGAGCGAGGCGCGGTGTGTGCGGTTTGCTAACATCTGCTGCCCCCGTGCTCCACCCCAACCCCAGGACCTCCTTGCTGTTTCTCCGGCACCTGGAACACTCTTGCCCTGGCTGTCCTTGCTTTGTTCACGTGTTACCTTATCAGAGAAGCCTTTCCTGACCTTTCCCCTGTGTCCCTTTGCTGTGCTTACTCCCCTCCACAGCACGAGTGCAGCTTGACATGTACATCTGTTTATCTGTGTAGCACTTTCTCTTTCTATTAGAAACAGGAAAGCTGGAAACTTTGTTTTGTTCCCGGCTGTACCCCCATCACCTAAAGTAGTGTCTGGCATACAGCAGGCTTTCAATCAATACTTACCACATAAACACGTGTGTAAAAAAGGTGCCATCTATGCATATATGTATGTGCCTGGAATACTGCTAAAAGGATACATAAGAAATGGGTAAAATGACTGTCTCTTTGGAAGGAGAGGAAAAGACACTTCGTTTTCACTCTATCTTCTTTTGTGATCCTTCATTTTGTTGCCACATGGATATAATACTCATTTTGAATATTTTTTCTTTTTTTGAGACAGAATCTTGCTGTGTCGCCCAGGCTGGAGTGCAGTGGTGCGATCTCGGCTCACTGCAACCTCTGCCTCCTGGGTTCAAACAATTCTCCTGGCTCAGCCTCCCGAGTAGCTGGGATTACAGATGTGCGACATCATGCCTGACTAATTTTTCCATCTTTAGTAGAGACGGGGTTTCACCATATTGGCCAGGCTGCTCTCAAACTCCTGACCTCAGGTGATCCACCTGCCTCGGCCTCCCAAAGTGCTGGGATTATAGGTGTAAGCCACTATGCCTGGCCTGAAAATTTTTTTTAAGTTGCACAAATTCATCAACAGAAGGAAAAAATTTAAAAAGTGGTTGAGAGCTGGACATGGCAGCTCATGCCTGTAATCCCAGCACCTTGAGAGGCTGAGGCGGGCGGATCATCTGAGGTCGGGAGTTTGAGACCAGCCTGGCCAACATAGTGATATGCTGTCTCTACTAAAAATACAAAAATTAGACTGGTATGGTGGCTCCCGCCTGTAGTCACAGCTTCTTGGGAGGTTGAGGCATGAGAATTGCTTGAACCCAGGAGGCGGAGGTTGCAGTGAGCCAAGGTTGTGCCGTTGTACTCCAGCCTGGGTGACAGAGCGAGAACCTGTCTAAAAAAAATGGGGTTGAGTTCTGGTGTGGTGGCTTACACTTGTAATCCCAGCACTTTGGGAGGCTGAGGCAGGAGGATCACTCAAGGCCAAGAGTTCAAGACCAGCCTGGGCAACATAGGAAGACCCTATCTCTCCAAATTTTTTTTTTTTTTCTTTGAGAGAGAGTCTCATTCTGTTGCCCAGCTCACTGTGACCTCCTCCTCCTGGGTTCAAGTGATTCTCCTGCCTCAGCCTCCTCAGTAGCAGGGATTACAGGTGCGTGCCATCATGTTGCTAATTTTGGTATTTTTGGTAGAGACGGGTTTCACCATGTTGATCAGGTTGGTCTCGAACTCCTGACCTCATGATCTGCCCACCTCGGCCTCCCGAAGTGCTGGGATTACAGGCCTGAGCCACCATGCCTGGCCTAATTTTTTTAAAAAATTAGCCAGGTGTGGTGGTGCACCCACAGTCCCAGCTACTCAGGAAGCTGAGGCCGGAGGATCACTTAAGCCTGGGATTTCTAGGCTGCAGTGAGCCAGGATGCACCACTGCACTGCAGCCTGGTGACAGAATGAGACCCTCTCTCAAGAAAAAAAAAAAAAAAGTGGTTGAGTTTCATGATGGAATATTATATGGCAATGAAAAACAAACAATGGTCTAACGTGACCACCCGTACAAATCCCTCGAATGTGCAGCCAGAATCCTGTAAGTTTTGGAAGAATACAAATGGGCAAATCCATGGAGACAGAAGGCGGGTTAACGGTTGCAGGAGTTGCAGGGAGGGCGACATTGGGAGTGACTATTTCATGGACATACAATATTCTTGCCCCACCCCCGTCGACAGTGCTCAGAGAAAAAGAATGTTCTTATATTATCTTCCTTGTATGTGGAGGTTTATTACGGGAATTGGCTTACACGATTACGAGGGCTGAGAAGTATCACAATCTGCCACCTGCCAGCTGGAGAACCAGAGAGCCAGTGACAGAATTCAGTCCAAAAGCCAGAGAACCAGGAGTTTCACTGTTCGAGGACAGGAGAGGGTGGATGCCCCAGCTCAAGACCAGAGAGCAAGTTCATCCTTCCCCTCCTTTTTGCTGTGTCCCTACCTGACTGGATGATGTGCCCACTCACATTGGTGAGGGTGACCTTCACTCAGTCCACGATTCAAACGCAAATCCTTTCCAGAAACACCCTCTCAGACACACCCCCAAATAATGCCTAACTAGCCACCTGGGCATCCCTTATCCAGTCAAACTTACACTCAAAATTAACCATCAAAATTCTTATGGGGTGATTGAAAAACGTTTTGAAACTAGAGAGAGGTGGTGGTTGGATAACATTGCGAATGCTCTGAATGATACATGTTAGAATGGTTAATTGTATGTTATATGAATTTTGCCTCAATTTTTAAAAGCATGCAGCATGACTGGGCATGGTGGCTCACGCCTGTAATCCCAACAGTTTGTGAGGCCGAGGCAGGCAGGTCACTTGAGCTCAGGAGTTTGAGACCAGCCGGGTGTAGTGGTACGTGCTTGTAGTCTCAGCTAATCAGGAGGCTGAGGTGGGAGGATCGCTTGAGCCCAGGAGGTCAAGGCTGCAGTGAGCTGAGATCACACCACTGCACTCCAGCCTGGGTAACAGAGTGAGACCCTGTCTTAAAAACAAAAGAAAACAAAATAAAACAAAACATACAGTATGATACCATTTATGTAAAGTTTAAAACACACAAAACAGCCGGGTGTGGGGGCTCACGCCTGTAATCCCATCACTTTGGGAGGCCGAGGCGGGCAGATCACGAGGTCAGGAGATCAAGACCATCCTGGCTAACATGGTGAAACCCCATCTCTACTAAAAATACAAAAAACTAGCCGGACGTGGTGTCATGCGCCTGTAGTCCCAGCTACTCAGGAGGCTGAGACAGGAGAATGACTTGAACCCGGGAGGCAGAGGTTGCAGTGAGCCGAGATCGCGTCACTGCACTTCGGCCTGGGCAACAGAGCGAGACTCTGTCTCAAAAAAAAGTGTCAGAATGAAAAGTAGACTTTGCTGAAGACTGTCTCCACTCGAGCAAATTCTAGTCTCCTGTTGCATTTGTTTCCTGGGGCTGCCCTAGTAAATTACCACAAACTGGCTGACTTAAAACAAAATGGATGTATTATTTCACAGTCCGGCGGCCGGAAGGCTGAAATCAAGGTGTCAGCAGGGTGGTCCTCCCTCTGGAGGCTGCAGGGGAGAATCCGTCCTTCCTTCCTCCCGTTTCTGGGGGCCCCAGGTGTCCCTGGGCGTGTGGCTGCATCACTCCAATCTCTGCCTCCATCTTCCTAGGGCCGCCTTCTAGTCTCTACGTACATCTTATAATGATGCTTGTCACTGGATTTAGGGCCTACGAAATGTCCAGGATGATCTCATCATGACAGCCTCAATTTAATTATGTCTGCAAAGACCCTTTTACCAAATAAAGTCACAGTCACAGGTTCTGGGAATTAGGATGTGGACATATATTTTTCAGGCCATCATTCAACCTACTAGATCTATAAATCCGAGTTTCTTTCCTTTTTTTTTCTGAGACAAGGTCTGCTGTGTCCCCCAGGATGGAGTGCAGTGTCGCAATCAAGGCTCACTGCAACTCCACCCGCCAGGTTCAAGCGATCCTCCTACCTCAGCCCCTCAACCTGCCCGGCCTCCGTAGCTGGGAGTACAGGCACGCACCACCACACCCTGCTAATTTTTTTATTTTTAGTAGAGACACGGCGCTCGCCATGTGGCCCAGGCTGGTCTCAAATTCCTTGGGCTCAAGTGAGCTTTGAGCTTCCTGCTTTGGCTTCCCAAAGTGCTGGGATCACAGGCGTGAGCCACTGTGCCCGACCTAAATCCAACTTTCATTCTTTTTTCCAATTCCACCCCCCCCTCTTCCCTGCAGTGCAGGTGCTGGCAGGTGGAAGGAGGGCTCTCTTCTCTTTCTCCGTCATCCTTCTGCTTTGATCCTCTCCAGATCTGGGCATCGGAGGATTTCCCGGGAGCCCGTTTGTAATACATCCTCAGGCCGGCCTCTTGATCCTCTCCAGAGGCGCATCTCAGCCTCTGGTGACGGGTTCCCTTGCCCCCGGGGCTTCTTCAAGGCTGCTTGACCCCCGCTTTCTTCCAGTTTCTACTTGGCTTTTGGGAAACTCTCCTGGTCAGACAGTGGGAAGGAGGCCTGCTCCGCCTGGTCAAGAGTGGGAAGGGGGGCCGCTCCGCCTGGTCAAGAGTGGGAAGCGGGGCCGCTCCGCCTGGTCAGAGGGTGGGAAGGCGGGCCCGCTCCGTCTGGTCAACAGTGGGAAGGAGGCCTGCTCCATCTCTACGCAGTTTTGCCGCACTACTGCAAGCACAGAGCAGTTTCCTCACCCCTAATTCTCCAGGCTAGAAATAGGTAACAGGCTCTGGACACATGGTTTGGGTTAAGGGGTGGGGTGGGGGTGGGAGGGTGACCCCGGGGGACATTTGGCAACACCCGAAGACATTTTTTATTGTCACAGCTGGGGGTTGGATGTGTGCCACTATGATTTAGGGGGTAGAGGCCAGGGATGCTGCTACACATTGTACCATACACAGGACAGCCCCCTCACCCCCCAGAGGAATACCTGGCTGAAAAAGTCAATCGTGCTGTGGCTGAGTAACCCTGCTCAGGGTTACTGCGCCCGAACTCCAGGACCCCACACTCTGCTCCTGGAGCTGTGGAGTGCCAGCCAGGCTTCTGGGGAGGGAGAGGGCCATCCTGCAGGCAGCCTTGATTTCTTGGAAGGATCTTCTGGTTGGGGTCGGGGGGGGTGTGGGTGAAGGGAAAACACAGGTGGGGTTAAAGACAAACTTGTCTTCTCATAACCTGTTGACCTGTTGCCTGGGTAGCTCCCCTCCCAAGGAATACGGTCCTCTGGTATCAGTGGGGAGGGAGTGAGGGGCAAAGGACCAGCTTGGTTCCCTCTTGGAAAGTCTTGAAGGGTATCTGGCAGCTCCTGTTGAGCAGTGAAGGTCCTTATCACTTATCCACCTCAGTGAATATGTCTGAATGTATCCCAAAGGCTTATGTGCTGGCAACTGAATCCCAGTGTAACAGTGGTAGGGGGTGGACATGTTCAATAAGAGCCTGATACGAGGTGACTAGGTCATGAGGGCTGAGCCCTCTTGAATGGGTTAATAGTGTTCTGGCAGGGCTGGGTGCGGTGGCTCACGGCTGTAATCCCAGCACTTTGGGAGGCCGAGGCGGGCGGATCACGAGGTCAGGAGATCGAGACCATCCTGTAAATGGTGAAATCCCATCTCTACTAAGAATACAAAAAATTAGCGGGGCATGGTCGTGGGCACCTGTAGTCCCAGCTACGTGGGAGGCTGAGGCAGGAGAATGGCGTGAACCTGGAAGGCGGAGCTTGCAGTGAGCTGAGATCGTGCCACTGCACTCCAGCCTGGGTGAAAGAGCGAGACTCTGTCTCAAAAAAAAAAAAATTTTTGTTCTGGCAGAAGTGAGTTAGGTCTCATGAGAGCACGTTGTTCTAAAGTGAGCTGACCCTGGCGACTCTCCCTCCGCTGTGCGCACACTGGCTTTTGCCTTCTAACTTCCACCGAGATGACCTGCCCTCGCCACATGCTGGTGCCATGCTCTTGGACTTCCCAGGCTCCAGAACCATGAACTGAATATACTTTTTTTCTTTATAATTTACTCGGTCGGTGGCATTATGTTATAGAAACAGAGAACAGACTAAGACAGCGCTCCTAGTAGAAATTCCTAGACAATAGGAAGTGCCCAGTAGTGTTCATTTATTCACTTGAAGTCTGCTCCCCTCTCTAGACAGCAAGCTCCTTGGAGGCAGGGGATTCTCTTCACCTCTGTATCCCCAGCTCCTGCAACTGTGCATAACAATTATCTGTTGATGAGTAAATGAAGAGTTCGCCTTATTTAGAGAATCGTTGGATTTATGGCTAGCAAGATCTCTCTCTCTCTCTGTCTCTGTCTGTCTGTCTGTCTGTCTCTCTATTAGTAATCCCAGTAATTTATTTGAAGAAAGAGAAGAAATGAGCTTGCTTGGACCAAGGAGCAAAAAGCAAAGACAGGAGACCACTTTGAATGTCATTGAGTAGATGGGGAATGAGGCTCTTGCCTAGATTATGGGAAGAGGAGTTAGTAAAAGGGCTGTATCACCAGCCCCTCCCCATGACATTGGAGTGAGGGGCTGTGCAGCTGGGTGGCTGGTTAGGGTGGGGTGCACACGTGTGGAGTGCGGGGCTGTGCAGCCCGGTGGCTGGTTAGGGTGGGGTGCACACGTGTGGAGTGAGGGGCTGTGCAGCCCGGTGGCTGGTTAGGGTGGGGTGCACACGTGTGGAGTGTGGGGCTGTGCAGCCCGGTGCCTGGTCTAGGGTGGGGTGCACACGTGTGGAGTGAGGGGCTGTGCAGCCCGGTGCCTGGTCTAGGGTGGGGTGCACACGTGTGGAGTGAGGGGCTGTGCAGCCCGGTGGCTGGTCTAGGGTGGGGTGCACACGTGTGGAGTGAGGGGCTGTGCAGCCCGGTGGCTGGTTAGGGTGGGGTGCACACGTGTGAACACCTGTGTGGCATCAGCCCCCACTCTGCAGTGAGCATGCAGGAGCCCCCCCACCCCACCCACCATGAGAGGATGAGGCCGCCTCACACTGGGTCGGGGGAAGGGGAGTGGAACGGTCCTGAGTGTGCTGCCTTGTGGGCCAAGGGGACAAACGCTGGGGCAGGAGAGAAGGGAGTGGTTTCTGGAGTTAGCCAGGAGGCTGCACCTGTGTTCACCTGTTAGCTATCCTCAGGGCACAGACAGAAAAAGATGGTTTTGTTACTGTCATTCGGACCTTATGTGGTAAGACCTGGGAAAACAGGGGTTAAGTGAAACATGTGAGAATCCCGTCTAGGAAGAGCTGGCACAGAGCAGAGGTGCAACGAGTGTTTACTGAAAGCTGTAATGGTGAATAGAAGGTTGGGCGATTGGGTTCGTGTGGGCTCCACAGGGGTACAGCTATAGCCAAGAGGAAGGCTTCAGGGAGGCAGCCTCGGGTCACCTATGCGTCTTTCTCAGGCGGTTGGCCATCCCAAGGAAGGTCGAGTCACCCCAGAGACACGGAGTGGTCTACCCCCGTCTGTGCAAGCGGCGGTGCGAGCAGCTCCTGGGGGCTGGGGGGTGGGCTAAGGCCAGCGGAATTCCTGCACCCTTGAGGCTTTAGGGTTAGGAGGTGAGGAGGGAATATTAACATTAAGAATGCTCTCCAGCTGAGGGGCCTACAGTGAGCGAGACCTGGGGTCACGACCTCATTCAGTCATCACAACAGGACTATTGTTGTCTCTGTTTTGCACATAAAGAAACTGAGGCTTGGAGTTCGAGACCAGCCTGGGTAACACAGTGGGACCTCGTCTCTACAAAACATACAAAAATTGGCCGGGCGTGGGAGCGGTGCCTGCGGTCCCGACTGCCGGGGAGGCTGGGGTGAAAGGGTCGCTGGAGCCCAGGAGGCGGAGGCTGCAGTGAGCCGCGCCCCTGCCGTCCAGCGAGACCGTGGGGACCCGCCCCGCGGCGAGGTCACCATCCAGAGGCCGCCCAGCAGGTGCCCTCCGGCCCGGGCTCTGCGGCCACAGGTCCCAGCGGGGCGGGGCGGGGCGGGCGCCGGTTTCACGGTTTTGCCGCCAGAGGGCAGCGAGGGAGCGCGCGGGCTGCGGGGCCGAACCCCGGGTGAGTCCGGGGGGGAAGCGGGGCCGCCCCGGGTCCGGGGCCCAGTCCGAGGGCGGGGGGTGCGCGCGGCTCAGCGGCGGGGCCGGCGGGGCGCACAGGGAGGCGGCGGGGACCTGGGAGCTCTTGGCGCCCCGGGCGGGGGCGGTTCCGGGGCCGGCGGGGCGCGGGCAGGGCCTGGAGCTGGGTTTCCTCCCGCCGGCGGCCGGAGCCTGGGCTGCACCCGACTCCCCCGAGCAGCGCCCGGGCCCGGAGCCCCCCGCTCCGAACGGCCTGCGCTCCGCCCCGACCTCGGGGACCCTCGGGGACCCTGTGGTGCCCCCAGCTCGGGGTGCGGGTGGGGGGGGGCGGGGACGCGGCGGGGGGTGGGGGAGGGCGGCGCCGGGTGAGTTCCGGGGAGCGAGTCCACAGCGCGGCGTTTCCCAGCGCCCGCCCCGGCGCGCACGTGCGGGGAGGGGCCCGGGGGTCCAGGCTGCCGCCCCTCTGCACCTGGCCTCGCCTGCGGCGTGGACCCGACGCCCCACGAGACTGGGGGCCCCCGTGGGGGCCCCGGGCCCTGCACACTTGGGCTTTCGCCCGCGGCTGGGTGGTCGGAAGGGGGGTCGTGCGTGCAGGATTTGGGGGGCCCTTCTCACAGCCGAGACCGACGACGCCTCCACTCGCCCCGCCCATCCCTTCCAGCCTGAGTCCCGCGGGGTTGGCTTCCAGCCCTCCCAAAGCCGCTTCCCGGAGTCGGGCGGAGGCGTCGGGGAAGCGCTTCCATCCGTCCCAGGCGCCTCACTGCTCGGGACGACGGCTCTGGGCCCGCCGTGGAGCCGCCTTTCCTTTCCTGCGCCGCACGGAGGCCTCTGCCGGGGGCGCTGGGGCTTGTGCCTCCTGCCCGGCTGCTCAGAGGGCAGAGCGACCCCAGGGTCGCCTGGGTCCGTAACACCTTGGGGGTCGTCCTGCGGGGAGGCGTCTTGCTGCAGGTGGAGACCCGTCCCCGGGGAGATCAGAGCCACGGAGATTCCGGGGAATGGTCACTGTCACCCTACATCTGTGCAGCGCGCACCTTTGACCCTCCCGGCAGCCTGAGGGCAGGGGGAGCCCTGGGGACGCCCCTGCAGACCCTGGTGGGCGCGTGGGTAGAGCCAGGACTGCAGTCCCGTCCCCGCCCCGCCCCGCCCGACACCGGGGGAGATCGCGCCCCGGGCCGCCTCCAGCCCCCAGCCCCACCCCCACTCCGCGTCTCTGACATCCCCTCGGCCTCCCATCTCCCATCTCCTGAAAAACACAAAACCCGGCATCGGAGCCGTCAGCTTGTTTCCTCTTTTCTCTGTCACGTTTTCCCACAAGAGCTCGGCACCTGCTGCCCCCTCCCCTCCAGCCGCCCCCTCCCCGCCAGCCGCCCCCCTCCATCCTCTGCAGCCTGGCTGCTGGTGGCCACTTTGCTGAAACTTCTAAACCCAAAAGTCGTTTTGTTTCCAAACACGCCTCTTCTGTGGTGCCTCGGTCGCTCTCCCCGGGAAGCGGACCCCTGCGCGCTGGTGTCCAGCTTGCAGCCTCCCCGCCGTCACTTCTGGGCATG
The DNA here is from genome assembly GCF_000001405.40 of Homo sapiens. Taxonomy (NCBI): domain Eukaryota; kingdom Metazoa; phylum Chordata; class Mammalia; order Primates; family Hominidae; genus Homo; species Homo sapiens. The sequence goes on from NT_187662.1 coordinate 18,006, forward strand.
CCTCTCTCCTGGTTCCTTCTCCTTTGCTGAGCCTTTTTCCCTCTTTCCTGGGACTGTTTTCCCAGGCCCTGTGTTGTACTTCTCACGGGGCTGGCTCCAGGAGTCCTCTGGGAATGCCCCCTCTGACTTCCAGCCCACCCTGTCTTGCTCTCTGGGTGCCACGGTGTCACCGCAAACTCAGCGCACCCGACTGGTCTCCTCCCAGGCAGCTGCCCTCACTCACTTCCCGCTGGTGGGTTTCCCTCATTCTCTGTCATTTACACTGGTCTCCAAAATGTGTCTGCCTCTCCCCTCTCCTTTGTGATGGATTCCTACAGGCCTTGAACATCTCAGTCCAGAGTACAGAGGCCTCTTAGCTGTTCTCTCTCCTGTGGGAACCCCCTCCAGCCCCATGTGGCAATCCATCCGGCATGTCCCTTCTAGAATGATGGTTCGTTTCACCCTGTCACCGACCCCCGCCCCACCGAGATATCTTCAGAGGCTCCATATGTCCTCCTGGGCAAAGCTCAGCTCCCCTGCCTGCATTTGAAGGCCCTCAGTCACGTGGCCTCATTCTCTCAAACTAATTTCCAATCCTGAAGCTTCTTGCCTCCTGCCCCTGGTTGGGCCCTCTCGCCCCTACCCTCTGGGACTTGGCTCAGGTGCAGTTTCCTTGGAAAAGCTTTGCTCACCTCCCTGGCTGCACCGGGGACCCTTCCCTGGCTTTGCTCACCTCCCTGGCTGCACCGGGGACCCTTCCCACTCCACGATGCCCTCAGGCCACCAGCTGCAGCTGTCGGCTGATCTCACATCCCCTTCTGTCCCTGATGGCAGCGGGAAGCTTGTTCCCCTTCTCTCTGGCTCTCCAGGACTGGGCGCCCTGCAAGCACTCAATGGAGGCATTCCCACCCTCAGGCCTCCAAGAACACCTCCCCAGCATCCTTAATACAATTGAGAGTTCAGTTCAAGCACCACCTCCCTCCTGGACGGTTCCGTTCGTCCAGTCCATCTGCGTTCCTGCTGGGCTTGTTGATGGATCCGTTGCAGGTTGTCCCACACGGTTTAGTATTTTGTTCTCTGCTATTAGCCTCCCACTGTATCATGAGTGCGAGATATACTTTTCCAGCTCTTAATCATTGCAGCTGTTTGTTGAGTGGGTTGTCCCGTGCCGGGCAGTGTGCTAATCATTCCAGGTAGTCCCTCGTTTTCCTTTATCTTAGAAACATCCAGAGGGGTAAGCATTAGGATTATTGTCCTCATTCTGTTCATAAGGACACAGAGAGGGCCAGAGACCTTCCTAAATCACACAGCATATAGGTGGCCAAGGTGGAGGCTGGAACTCAAGTCTGTCTGACTCCTAAGGCTGTTTTTAGATGCTAGGATTTGCCGTTTGTCCAGGAAGGCGTGTTTTTCAGTCCAGGGAGTGTGTGTTACATTTCCATGTCTTCTCAGCCCCTGGCCCAGGTGTGCAGGACTTCCTGGTGGCTCGGTTGGTTGCTTGCTTGCTTGGGACTCTGCTGGACTCCAGGAAAGGACTTTGTAACAAACAGATGGTTAATGATGGGACCAGTGATCCAGGGAGGCTATGACATCAGCCCCAGGAGGCCTTGGAAACAGGCCGTGTTTTTCTGTCTTGCCTTAAGTAAGAGTTGTGAATAGAGAGAACCTTGCAAGGGCCCTGGGATCATTTCTGCCTCTTAAGGCACCTTAAAATGCCCTTTTTTTGTAAACAAAACTAACTCCCCTCACCCCAAATGGGAAAGCCTTCAACTAAGTTTCTTTAGGAGACGTCCTTCCGTCCTTCCCTTCTCTGTGCAGGTCACTGTCATATGAAAACGAACTCCTGCTGTGAAACACGGTTACCATGGCAACCGGTCTTGCAAGGCTGGAATCTCCTGCTCCTGGGCCTCTTGCACTGTATGCTTTGAGGGGATTTCTTCCGTCTTTGTCATCTAAAAAAACAAAATACTCCAGTTCACTCTTCTTTTGCATCAACATTTAAAAACATTTTTTTCCCAGGCAGTGATTTTTGGGTACTTTGGGTGCCCCAGCAGGTTGTCATCAGGCCGCTGGCACACCATTAATAATGACCCCAGCAAAGTCACTGTGGTCGAGGTCCCATTTTGAGTGACATCCAGTGCCTCATGCATGAAAGGACAGTAGCTGCGGCCGCCACACATCTCTGATGCCTGGAGAGGCTGAGGGACAGGAGTGATCTGGCGTGGAAGGGAGGGCTTGCTGGTGGAGCTCAGCTCTAGCTGGAGATGGTAGAGTTGCTTGTCCTCAGTTGCGATCTCCTTTTCTTTGAGGACGTTGCTCACAGATATCCGGGCAGGGGACGCCCAGAGCAGGGTACTGCAGGGGTGTTGAGAAAGACAGGATACCTTCAGCAGGAATCATTGCTATGAACACTGATGAGTGCTCACCTTGTGCAGATGCTGCTCCCTTGTTTAAACCTCAGCCAAATGATGTTAGAGTACTATTCCCATGTTACAGGTAAGAAAACTGCTGCACAGAGAGGTTGAGTGTTTGTCCAAAGACACACAGCAAGGAGGGAACTTTAGTCCTAGAAAGTCTGACTCCTTTGGCCAATAGTCTTTAAAAAATTTTTTTTTCATCTTTTTATTACCCAGACTTCAAGGAGATGGCCAATACCCTTTACATGGTGCTCTGTAGACAGTGGAAGGACCATGTTTAAAGAATGAAAGGGTAAATTGGAGAGGTGGGGCACATTGGCTTTCCCAAGATTTGAGGCTTAAAGCAGTAGTTTTCAATGATGTATATTTTAGGATGGGTTGCAGTGAAAAGGCATATACTAGAATGTTCATAGCAGCACTATTTGTAATAGCCAAATCCACCCCCCAGGGAAATCCTACAATGTTTATCAGCAGTAGAATGGACACATAAACTGGGGTGAAGGCAGACAATGGAGCACCCCACTGTGGTGAGAAGGAACAATCTGACCACACAGCATACGTGGATGAATCACACAAACACAATGTCGAGTAAAAGGAACGAGACAGAAAGGAGCATGTCCTGCCTGATTCCACGTCTATAAAGTGCCAAAAGGGCCAAATGCACGGACGGTGTTGGAAGTGGGGGTCGTGGTTTCCGGGAGGTATGAGGAGGGCTTCTGGGAGCGATGAGGAGGGCTTCCGGGAGGCATGAGGACGGCTTCCGGGAGGGATGAGGAGGGCTTCCGGGAGGGATGAGGAGGGCTTCCGGGAAGCATGAGGAGGGCTTCCGGGAGGGATGTGGGGGGGGGGGCTTCCGGGAGGGATGAGCAGGGCTTCTGGGAGGGATGTGGGGGGCTTCCGGGAGGGATGAGGAGGGCTTCCGGGAGGGATGTGGGGGGCTTCCGGGAGGCATGAGGGGGGCTTCCGGGAGGGATGAGGAGGGGTTCCGGGAAGCATGAGGAGGGCTTCCGGGAGGGATGTGGGGGGGGGGCTTCCGGGAGGGATGAGGAGGGCTTCTGGGAGGGATGTGGGGGGCTTCCGGGAGGCATGAGGAGGGCTTCCGGGAGGGATGAGGAGGGCTTCCGGGAGGGATGAGGACGGCTTCCGGGAGGGATGTGGAGGGCTTCCGGGAGGGATGTGGAGGGCATCCGGGAAGCATGAGGAGGGCTTCCGGGAGGGATGAGGACTTCCGGGAGGGATGAGGAGGGCTTCCGGGAAGCATGAGGAGGGCTTCCGGGAGGGATGTGGGGGGAGGCTTCCGGGAGGCATGAGGAGGGCTTCCGGGAGGGATGAGGAGGGCTTCCGGGAGGGATGTGGGGGGCTTCCGGGAGGGATGAGGAGGGCTTCCGGGAGGGATGAGGGGGGGCTTCCGGGAAGCATGAGGGGGGCTTCCGGGAGGGATGAGGACGGCTTCCGGGAGGGATGTGGAGGGCTTCCGGGAGGGATGTGGAGGGCATCCGGGAAGCATGAGGAGGGCTTCCAGGAAGGATGAGGGCTTCCGGGAGGGATGAGGAGGGCTTCCGGGAGGGATGAGGGGGGCTTCCGGGAGGGATGAGGACGGCTTCCGGGAGGGATGAGGAGGGCTTCCGGGAGGGATGAGGGGGGCTTCCGGGAAGCATGAGGGGGGCTTCCGGGAGGGATGAGGAGGGCTTCCGGGAGGGATGAGGGGGGCTTCCGGGAAGCATGAGGGGGGCTTCCGGGAGGGATGAGGAGGGCTTCTGGGAGGGATGAGGAGGGCTTCTGGGAGGGATGAGGAGGGCTTCCGGGAGGGATGAGGAGGGCTTCCGGGAAGCATGAGGAGGGCTTCCGGGAGGGATGAGGAGGGCTTCCGGGAAGCATGAGGAGGGCTTCCGGGAGGGATGAGAAGGGCTTCCGGGAGGCTGGTACTGCCTGGTTCCTTTAATGGGGTGTCAGTCAGAGGGCTGCGTTCTTTCCATCAATGCCAACGCTTACCCGTTCCATGTGTGTACTCCTCTGTGTATGTGTTAGACTTAATACAATGGAGCGAAACAGGAAAAAAGGCTGCAGGGATCCTAAACCCGGGACGTGAATACAGACACACCATTCCAAGAGGCCACTTTGACTTCACTGTACCTGCAGCCTTGGGTTTCTCGTGACAGGTGGGAGGTGACATGAGGGTGAGCACCTAGGCTCCGGAGGGGTCAGCTCTGGGAACGAGGCAGCTGAGCCCGGGCTGGCTCTGGTTTCTTCCTGTCTACCTCCACCCTGCTGGGTCTGGGGAGAGCTCTCTTAGCTACAAGGTGGCTGCTTGGGTTGGGAGAGCCCCTGAAGTGGCCCTTTTCCTTGCTTTTGGGATGCTTGGGGGTGTAAGCACGGTGATGTGTGTACCCCCAGCTGGCTGTGGGGAGTCCGGCCAGCCTGTAGAAATTGCAGAACACGAGCGGAGCTGCAGCCCCGGGCACAGACATCCTCACCCCTCTGACAGCAGCTGGCTGCCTGCAAAGCACTGGCATTTCAAGGCCTGTGCCAGCCTGTACAGTAAGCAGCATTCATTGGGAGGGCGGCTTCTCCATTCACATGGCAGTTATCTGCTGCTGAAAATACCAGAGCACCTTATGTAAGACCGCAATTACGTCGTTAGCACCTCGTGTAAGAGCACTTATTTTACCATGGACACTTAATCAGTTGCGTGTTGGATACTGACGATCCGGTCCTGTCTCCATCACCCAGCTGTGCTCATGGCTAAATTTACATGTTGGTGCATTTTCATCTTTGGTTCTGGCCCATCCAAGCCGTTGAGTGACGCCAGGATTTAGTCTCCTCTTGCCCAGCCCCTCCTTCTCACTCATGGATGGAGTGATGGAGTACCCCCTGACTGACAGAGGTGCAGCATCTCAGAGTTAGGAGGCCTGCCTTCCTCATCCAAGAGTCTTCTCCACCAGTAGCCGGATGGGCGACCATTTGGGCTGTGCTCCAAGGCTGCCGATGATGTCGGCAGCCTGTCTCGGGGTGGGTGATGGTTTTCATAGTAAGGAGGAGCCACAGAGCTGCACTGAGGCCTGGAGTATCCCAGGGAGGTATGAATGCCTGGCTGAAGCCGACAAGGAGACATATCATAGAGATGGGGTCTGTAAATCTCTGGGATCCGAGGCTTGGAAAGGAACATCATGGTGGATGCAGTTTGGTGAGAACTGTTAAAATAAATGCAGCTGCCCTGTGACATAGTGATTCAGTGATTCTACTTCTCAGGATCTACCCTAAAGAAATGCTGGCACCTGTGCACAGGTGACAACTTCTGGGACAGCCTTTGTGACGGTCTGTGGTGGTGAAAGATCGTACACAGTCTGAATGTTTGTTCGTGGTGAGACAGCTCCGTAGACTTGTATTTTCATACCTTGGGCTACTGCGCAACGTTGAAAAGGAATTAGAACTTTATATAAGAACATGAATGACAAGGTGGGCAGATCACCTGAGGTTAGGAGTTCAAGACCAGCCTGGGCAACATGGTGAAACCCCATCTCTACTAAACATGTAAAAATTAGCCAGGTGTGGCAACACACGCTTGTAATCCTAGCTACTTGGGAGGCTGAGGCAGGAGAATCACTTGAACCCGGGAGGTGGAGGTTGCCATGAGCTGAGATTGAGCCACTGCACTCCAGGCTGGGCGACAGGGCAAGACTCTGTCTCAAAAAAAAAAAAAAAAAAAAGTGATGTCTAGTCTAAACCCCTTCCTGAGTGGAGATTCTTTGCTCCATTGGTCCCTGAGTCCTAGGTGGACTGAGACAGAGAGCTTCACTGCATAATGCTTTGCATTCAGGGGCAGCTCAGAAGGTGGAAATTCTTCCCTCTTTTGAGCTGAAATCTGCCTTTGTTGTCCCTCTGGAGCCTACACCTTCCCTTTTCCATGGGGCAAGAGTTTCATTGGTTTACGTTCCCTCTTGTGCCCTCCTCCTCTGGGCACCTCCAGGGTTTCCTGTTGTCTATAGGGTAATACAGCCCATGGCCTCCCGGGTCTGTGGTGCCGGCTCCTTGCTCACGCTCTGCCAGGCTCACCAGCCATCCCCTAAAGTCTGTGCAGAACTGGACTGTCCGCCTGGATGTTGCTTGACTTTCACATAAGAGTTCTTTAAAAAAAAAGTCTTTTTTTTTAAATTATAAAAGTAATTCATGTTCATTGTGGAAAATTTAGAAAATGCAGAAAGCACAAAGAGGAAAATAAAAATCCGTGATTCCCAACCTCCAGAGATAGCCAGTGTTTACTGCTTAAAAATGGAGATGATACTGTAGACATGATTTGGTAACCTGCGTTGATTTCTCTATATTGACTGACATATGTAACAAACATTTTTCCCCTCCTTTTGGCATTTTTCTTTGGTTATTTTTCTCTTTTTAAAGATCTTGTTGCATACCAAGTATTACGATTATTTTTAAACATAGAGAAGGTTTAAATGTTTATGTGGTAATACAGACTGAACGTTTGTGTTCCCCAGTATTCCTGGGTTGTGGCGTTCACCCCTAGTGCAGCTGTGTGTGGAGTCAGGAAGTAATTAAGGTTAAATGAGGTCAGAAAGGTGGGGCCCTGATGCAATACGTTAGTGTCCGTATAAACACAGATGCTGGAGAGCGCTCTCCCTCCCCTTCCCCATCCCCCTCCCCTCTCCCCACTCTCTCTTTCTCAACCTCTCTCTTTGTCAATCTCTCTCTCTCTCTCTCTTTTTAAACTGAAAAAAAATGTTTTATAACAGAGATGGGGTTTTGCTGTGTTGCCCAGGCTGGTCTCCATCTCCTGGGCTCAGGCAACCCTCCCACCTCGGCCTCCCAAAGTGCTAGGATTACAGGCACGAGACACTGCGCCTCGCCTCTCTCTCCCTTTGTCAATCTCTCTTTCTCTTTCTCAATCTCTGTCTCTCTCTCCTTTTCTCAATCTCTCTCTCCCTCTCTCTTTCTCTCTCCTTCTCTCTCTCTCTTGCTCTCTCTCTCCCCCTCTTCTCCCCACTCTCTCTGTCTCTGTCTCTCCCTTCCCCTGGGCCCTCACCATGTCCACAAGCCAGGAGGAGAGGCCTCGCCATAATCGGAGCCAGCTGGCACCTTGATCTTGGACTCCCCAGCCTCCAGGACTGTGAGAAGAAATGCCAGCTGTGTAAGCCGCCCTGTCTGCATATTTCATGGCAGCCTGAACTGACTAATGCATTTCATTAAGTCCATCAGTCTTTTCATCTTATGATTTTTCAAAAACCCTCTGTTTTGGGGTTTGAAACGTTTTCCTCACCCCAAGTTCAGATAAATGTTCAGTTCTATATTTTCTTCAGGTTCTTTTTTGGTTTCAGCCTTTCCATTCAGCTCTCTTTGACTTTCAATGCTAATCCAATCAAAATTTATTTTGTTTTGTGATGGAAGGGAAGACCTCGATTTTCTTTCTTTCCAAATTGTTGACCTATTATTTCAGTTCACTTTCTTTGCCCACAAGCTGTATTTTAAACTTAAATTTAATTTATTTTTGGAAGATACATTATGAGCATGTCATTTAAGGGGCCGGGTGCAGTGGCTTACGCCTGTCATCCCAGCACTTTGGGAGGCCGAGGCGGGTGGATCACCTGAGGTCAGGAGTCCAATACCAGCCTGGCCAACATGGTCATCCCCATCTCTACTAAACCCCATCTCTACTAAAAATACAAAAATTAGCTGGGTGTGGTGGCTGGCACCTGTCATCCCAGATACTCTGGAGGCTGAGGCAAGAGAATTGCTTGAGCCTGGGAGGCAGAGGTTTCAGTGAGCAAGATTGCACCACTGCTCCCCAGCATTGGCAACAGAGCGAGACTCTGTCTCAAAAAAAAAAAAAAATCATGTCATTTAAAATTCTAAAGGTGTAAAAAGGCAAATGGTGAGAGTCTTCCTCCTCCTTTATCCCTCAGCCTTTCGGGTCCAGGAACTGGTGTTACTAGATTTGAGGTATCCTTCTCTTTCCCTAACTGACTTGAAGTATTAGCTCATCTGCACACTGCACTTTTCTTTACCCATTTTTTCCCTTTTAGATTATTATTGATTTGTAGGAGATCTCCGTATGTCCGCGTACTGGTACTAATCAGATGTCTATTATGCTGCAAATATGTCTCTCAGTTTGTGGCTTGCTTTTTATCTATCTTAATGCATCTTTTGAACAAAATAGTCAAATGCTTCAGTAAGCTTACCATGAACTAAAGTTCAGTAGTTGTTTATGGTATTTTTCTTCCATGGTAAAACATGCATGCAACGAAATACACAAATCTTACCTGCTCCATCTGATGAGCTCAGATAAACACGCAGGCTTGTGCAACCCAGGCTGCTATCAAAATAGAGAACGTGACCACTGTCCCAGAGCATTCTCTCACACCCCGTCCCCGTCAATCCCTGTCCCACTCCCCCCGCAGTCAGCCACTCTCACGCCCCGTCCCCGTCAATCCCTGTCCCACTTCCCCTGCAGTCAGTCACTCTCACACCCCGTCCCCGTCAATCCCTGTCCCACTCCCCCCGCAGTCAGCCACTCTCACACCCCGTCCCCGTCAATCCCTGTCCCACTTCCCCTGCAGTCAGTCACTCTCACGCCCCGTCCCCGTCAATCCCTGTCCCACTTCCCCTGCAGTCAGTCACTCTCACACCCCGTCCCCGTCAATCCCTGTCCCACTCCCCCCGCAGTCAGCCACTCTCACACCCCATCCCCGTCAATCCCTGTCCCACTCCCCCTGCAGTCAGTCACTCTCACACCCCGTCCCCGTCAATCCCTGTCCCACTCCCCCTGCAGTCAGCCACTCTTTGGAGTTTTTTCACCAGAGATTAATTTTTTTTTTTTTTTTTTTTGAGACAGAGCTTTACTCTTGTTGCCCAGGCTGGAGTGCAATGGTGCGATCTCTGCTCACTACAACCTCCGCCTCCTGGGTTCAAGTGATTCTCCCGCCTCAGCCTCCCGAGTAGCTGGGATTACAGGCGTGTGCCACCACACCCAGCTGATTTTTCTATTTTTAGTAGAGACTGGGTTTCACCATGTTGGCCAGGCTGGTCTTGAACTCCTGACCCCAGGTGATCTTCCAGCCTCAGCCTCTCAAAGTGCTGGGATTACAGGCATGAGCCACTGCACCCAGCTACCATAGGTTAATTTTACCTGTACTGGAACTTCATGTAAATGGGATCATACAACGTGTGTTCTTTTGTGAAAGGCGTCTCTCGCTCTCATTTGGCATGACGTTGTTGAGATTCACCCCAGTTGTTGTTTGGGTCGGTAGTTGCTTCCTTTTGGTCAGCAGTATTCCTTGCTATGAGTATGTATAAGTTGCTTATCTATTCACCTGGTGATGGACCTCTGGGCTGTGTTCATTTTTGGCTATTATCAATGGAGTGGCCATAAGTATTCATGTTGACCTTGTTTTTCATTCCCGTCATATACTTTGTTTCTCTTACCTGTTTTTTTTGTTTGTTTGTTTGTTTTTTGATACGGAGTCTCGCTCTGTTGCCCAGGCTGGAGTGCAGTGGCGCGATCTTGGCTCACTGCAAACTCTACCTCCCGGGTTCACGCCATTCTCCTGCCTCAGCCTCCCGAGTAGCTGGGATTACAGGCACCCGCCACCACACCCAGCTAATTTTTTATATTTTTAGTAGAGATGGGGTTTCACTGTGTTAGCCAGGATGGTCTCAATCTCCTGACCTTGTGATCCGCCCGCCTCGCCTCCCAAAGTGCTGGGGATTACAGGTGTGAGCCATTGCACCTGGCCCTCTTACCTGTTTTACTTTTCCTAAGAGTGGAATTGCTCGGTCATGGGATAGGTGAACGTTTTTTCTTAAAAAATTGAAGCATAGTGCCTGGCATGGTGGCTCACGCCTGTAATCCCAGCACTTTGGGAGGCTGAGGTGGGTGGATTGCTTGAGCCCAGGAGTTTGAGACTAGCCTGGGCAGCATGGCAAAAACCCATCTCTAAAAAAATAGAAAAATTAGCCAGGTGTGGTAGCATGCACATGTAGTCCCAGCTACTTGGGAGGCTGAGGTGGGAGGTCAAGGCTACAGTGACCCTTGTCCCACTGCACTTCAGCTTGGGTGACAGAGCAAAACCCTGTCTCAAAAGGAAAAAAAAAAAAGGAAGCGTAGCATCTCTTCAGAAAACTGCATGCATCAGAAGTATTCTGCATTTTCACAAGGTGGACACACCCCATGTAGTCATCACCCAGCTCAAGGGATGGGACCTGGGCCCACGCCAGGCTACTTTGCTGGGCTGTCCACTCCGGGATCTGAAACTTGGCAGAGTGAAGCAAGGGGAGAAAGGATTTTGGAGCCACTACTTCCATAGTGGAAGGTGATGGGACTTGAAGGCCTTAGACTGTTGCAGTTTCCATCAGGGTCTTCAGCCTTCTGATTGGTTCTGAGCTACGAGGTATCCCCAAGGTATTCTGCCAGTACATTCCTTTCTGCTTAAGTCGTGCAGACTTGATTTCTGTTGCTTACAACCCCAGTGGATACAGTGTGCGCAGCCAACTACGAGAACCAAAACTTTAGTGGAGTATACCCCTTGTATTGCTAAAACTGAGGGTGTAATTGACCTTTAACCAATCCCTGAGTTTGTACATGACCCCATTTGGACAGTTGGATTCCTGGGCTGACAATGTGAACTCTCAAACAGGCAGTCACTTTAGATCTGACTTGAAAGTTTGTAACAAACTACTTCAAACATTTGGGACTCGTAAAGTGTTATTTTTTTTTTCTTCCTAACTTTAAATTTAGTTCCCAGTTTTGAAACAATTTTCTCTCAGTCCCCAGTGGGACGTTAATGGAGAACACTGGCTTAATTTAGAAGGTGAGATGTAGGAATGCATGTTCTTTTCTGGACTTAATTTTTGGAAACCAGGTTCATTCCTCTTGCTCCTTGATGTAGAGTGTCAGGGATTAGGTGAGGGGGTGTTTGGTGCAGACCATCCCTTGAGGACTGTTTGCTTAAGAAGGCCCAACACCTAAACTCTTCTGCTCTAAGTGGGGCCTCGTTTAAAAATGAAAAAGGAAATGAATTCTCTTCTGGTTTCTTTTTTCAATGTCATCCAATCACACAGATTAGTGATAAGAAATGGCCCAATTTCAACCGGTCTCTGAATTCTGACAGCTCATGTCCTTGTTAATGTCAGGGTCTGGGGAGCATCTGATTAAGGAGAAGGTGCCATGGGTGAGGTTCACAGATGAATGTGAAACTATCTCTAACCCCAAATCCGTCCAGGCTGGGTCTCGAAGCAGCCGCTCAGTTGCCTGTATTTTCCCAGCGTTCGCCCCTCCCCTCCCCACCACCACCGCCTGTTTTGAGAGCTGATTCCTGCAGTGACCTTTCTTTACCTGCCACTTCCAATCCTGCTGGGGGCTTCCCTCATTTGCAGAAACCACTTCTCGGGGTCCAGTGATGCCCATCTGGACATGAAGACCTTTCTCACACCATCTGGCTTGTTATGACCTTCTACTTCCGACGTGAGCTGAGCAGAAACAAGACATGGTTCTTTGCTATGAAGTCTCTTAGCCCATTCAGACTGCTGTATGAAAATATCATCATCCGGGTGGCTTATAGACAACAGACATTTATTTCTGACGGTTTGGAAGCTGGGAAGTTCAAGATCAAGGTGTGGGCAGATTCTGTGTCTGCTCAGGGCCCATTTCCTGGTTCATAGATGGTGCTTTCTTTCTGTGTCCTCACATGGCAGGAGGGGCCAACGGGCTTCCTTAAAAGCCTCTTTTGTTTATTTATTTTTTTGTGGGAGACCGGAGTTTTATTATTACTCCAATCAGTCTCCCCGAGCATGCAGGGATCAGAGCTTTTAAGGATAACGTGGTGGGTGGGGGAAGCCAGTGAGCCAGGAGTGCTGATTGGTCAGAGATGAAATCACAGCAAGTCAAAGCTGTCTTCTTGTGCTCGGTCAGTTCCTGGGTGGGGACCTCAAGATCAGATGAGCCAGTTTATTGATCTGGGTGGTGCCAGCTGATCCATCAAGTGCAGGGTTTCCAAAATATCTCAAGCGCTGATCTTAGGAGCAGCTAGGGAGGGTCAGAATCTTGTAGCCTCCAGCTGCATGACTGCTAAACCATAATTTCTAATCTTGGGGCTAAAGTTAGTCCTACAAAGGCAGACTAGTCCCCGGGGAAGAAGGAGGTCTGCTTTGGGAAAGGGCTGTTACCGTCTTTGTTTAAACTATAAACTATAAACTAAGTTTCTCCTAAAGTTAGTTCAGCCTACGCCCAGGAATGAACAAGGGCAGCTTGGAGGTTAGGAGCAAGACGGAGTCGGTCAAGTTAGATCTAACACTGTCTCAGTCATCATTTGGCAACAGTGGTTTGAGTCCCTCCCTTTGGGTTTTATAACACCTTAATCTTAAGGGGTAGAAAAGCCCCTTTTACAAGAACACTAATCCCATTTATGAGGACCTTGCCCATACGACCTAATCACCTCCTAAAGGCCCCGCCTCCTCATGCCTTGGGGTGTTAGGGTTTCAATACGGGAGCTTTCGCGGGTCGCAAACATTCAGACCACAGCGGTCTATCGTGGGGATACTGCTGAGGAGGTAACTGCTTTGAGCGTCTTGCTCGGCGAGAGCTGCAGGTAGTTCTGGATGTGGTGGGTCTGCCTAGAAGGAGCTTTTTGTGTGGTTTGTTGGTAACTTTCTAATGAATGGAATTAACATTATTGGTTTATTATGGTGCTTTTTAACCAGGTGGAAGACAAGTGCCGCCATGAGGGGCACCTCTTCTGATCCTGCACAGAAGCACCGTGAGGGCTGGGCTGGCCTCAGACTCCTCACAAACCCCTCTTCAGGTTTCAGCATCAGAGGGTGAACAGAGTCACCCTTGGCAGAGGGATTGGGAACTAATTTAGCAAAGGGGGAAACTTGGGAGTAAAAAGGCCCTATATCGAATCAAAATTTCCTTTACGGAACTGAAAATTTCCATCAGGGTCATGCTCCAAGTCAGAGTAGAAAGGACAGGCCAAGGGGGCAGCCAGGACTCACCTGCGGGGTGACCTCACTTTGCACAGACCTGGTGTCCAGGGCCCAGGCTCGCCTCGTCACTTGAGTCTGGGTGTCATTGAGGCAGTAAGCAGGGTTAGCTCCTGGGACAGGTGAGGGTGCCTCCCCCTGCCCCCGCCAGTCCAGCCCCACAACGGAGGAAGAACTGCAGATTTTCATCTGTGCAGATGAACTCAGGCCCAGTGGTGGAATTGGTGAGGGGGAAGGTGGAGAAGGACAAAGCCTAACTCAGCAAAGCGCCTACTGTGTGCCTGGCATGGTACTCCGCGCTTAGTACACTCTGGGCTACTCCAGGAGCTGCTGGCACCAGAGATGAGTTGCGGGACTGTAGGATTCTGGGAACTTTATTCTGTAAGTACAGAGGAGGCTGGTGGATCTGCCTATGGAACTCATCTGGACCCAATTGTGGGCCACATGAAGACCTTCGCCAGCACTCACTCCCAGCCTTCAGACTCACAGGGGCATATGTCTTAGCCATCGATTGCCACCATATTGGGATGCAACAAGCTGCCCCAAACCCACTGGCATATGACAGTGAGCATTTATTTCCCTCTCACGTAGCTCGGAGTTGGGTGAGGTTTGGCTGACCTAGGCTGCCCGCAGGAGGACTTGGCTGACTTCAAGCTCCAAGTGGGTTTAGGTCTGTTCCATGTGTCTCTGATCCCATTTGGACCAGAGACCACCCAAGGCCTGTTCTGTCTCATGGTGACAGGAGGAGCACAGAGACCACCCAAGGCCTGTTCTGTCTCATGGTGATAGGAGGAGCACAAGAGACCACCCAAGGCCTGTTCTGTCTCATGGTGATAGGAGGAGCACAAGAGACCACCCAAGGCCTGTTCTGTCTCATGGTGACAGGAGGAGCACAAGAGACCACCCAAGGCCTGTTCTGTCTCATGGTGACGGGAGGAGCACAAGAGACCACCCAAGGCCTGTTCTGTCTCATGGTGACAGGAGGAGCACAAGAGACCACCCAAGGCCTGTTCTGTCTCATGGTGACGGGAGGAGCACAAGAGACCACCCAAGGCCTGTTCTGTCTCATGGTGACGGGAGGAGCACAAGAGACCACCCAAGGCCTGTTCTGTCTCATGGTGACGGGAGGAGCACAAGAGACCACCCAAGGCCTGTTCTGTCTCATGGTGACGGGAGGAGCACAGAGACCACCCAAGGCCTGTTCTGTCTCATGGTGACAGGAGGAGCACAGTGAGGACCAGCTCAATCGTACATGTACATTTCCAGCCTTTTTTCACATCATATTCACTAACATCCCATTAGCTAACACAAGGCTCACAGCCAACCTCAACACAGGGCAGGGATGTACACTGCCTACTTGTAGGCCCTGGCATGGTGTGGCTGTTTACACCACTGCAGGGAGTGAGAAGCTGAGACCAGTCATGTAGCCTACTCTAGGATGAGTGTCAGTCGTTCGCTCAGTAAATATTTATTGAGAGTTCATAGTGTGCCAGGCGTTGAGCAGCTTCGGGCAACAGAATGGTGAACAAGGCAGGCCTGGTTCTTCTTGCCTTATGGAACTTACATTCTAGTGATGGGAAAATACAGGAAAGAGCTCTGTCCATCATTAATTGTTTAATTACAACTGTGATAATCACTACAAAGGGGAATTATGGAGGAACGAGGTGCCGGTATCAAAGGGCCTGGCCTGGGCCAGGGAGGAAGATACGGTTGAATTCAGAATTGAAGGTGAGTGTTAATGAGGCAGGGAACACTCATGAAGATTAATAGCACAGCTGACTTCTCATCTGAAGCCCTGGAAAGCAGGAGGCAGTGGGTGGCACAGCCAAAGTGCTGAAAGAATTTAAAAAATTCTTTAAAGAATTCTATATCCACAAAAAACTATCCTTCAAAAGAGGCCGGGTGTGGTGGCTCATGCCTGTAATCCCAGCACTTTGGGAGGCCCAGGCCGGGGGATCACGAGGTCAGGAGATCAAGACCATCCTGGCAAACATGGTGAAACCCCGTCTCTACTAAAAATACAAAAAAAAATTAGCCGGGTGTGGTGGCGGGCGCCTGTAGTCCCAGCTGCTCAGGAGGCTGAGGCAGGAGAATCGTGTGAACCCAGGAGGCGGAGCTTGCAGTGAGCCGAGATCGCACCACTGCACTCCAGCCTGGGCGACAGAGCGAGACTGCGTCTCAAAAAAAAAAAAGGAGAAATTAAGACATCCTAGATTAATATAATAAAAACAGAGAGAATTTGTCACTGGCAGGCATGGCCTATAAGAAATCCTAAAGAGAATCCTTCAGGCCGACATGAAAGGGCACTAGGCGGTGACTGAAATCCATATGACGATACAAGGAGCATCTAAAGGGGTGAGTATATTCTGCTAGTAATTCTTCTGTCTGATTGAAAAGATAACTGCGGAAAGCAATGCTTGTTAAAACTTTGTTGATGGGCTTATAATGCACCAAGATATAATTTGTATAACAATAATAGCACAAAGGAGTGGAGGGGACAGAGCGATGTTGGAGCAAAGGTTTTGTGTACTATTGCAATTAGGTCAGTATTAGTCCAGGTTAGATTGTTTTAAATTAAAATGTTAATTGTAGTCTCCAAGGCAACCATTAAGAAAATAACTTTAAAAAATGGAAGAGGAGCATTAAGGGTTATGCTAGAAAATACGTATTCAACACAAAAGAAGGCAGAAATGGGAAAATATAGGAATAAAAAGACAAGACATATGGAAAGCAACTAGCAAAATGGCATAAATCCTATCTTATCTGTAATTACATTAAATACAAATGAACTAAATTCTCCAATAAAAAGAGCATGGCAGAACGGATTTACAAGAGACACACTTTAGATTCAAAGACACAAATGTGTGTAAAGTAAAAGGACAGAAAAAGATATTCCGTTCAAGCAGTAACCGAAAGAGTGGTGAAGTGGCTCCACAAGTAGCAGACAAAATAGGCTTTAAGGCAAAAATTGTTACTAGGGACAAACAGGGACATTTTATAATGACAAAGGAGTCAACCTATCAGGAAAGCCTAATAATTATAAAGCTGTATGCACCTAACAAGAGACCCCCAAAATACATGAACCAAAACCAACAGAAATGAAGGGAGAAATACAAAATCCAACAATAATCGTTGGAAGCTTCAAGGTCCCACTTTCAATAATGGATAGAATGAGTAGGCAGAGAACCAACAATGAGATAGACTTGAAAACACTGTAAATCAACTGGACCTAACAGACATCTGCAGAACTCTCCACCCAGCAACCGCAGGATGCAGGTTCTTCTCACGTGCCCGGGAGGACAGGCATCTGCAGAACACGCCACCCAGCAACCGCAGGATGCACGTTCTTTTCATGTGCCTGGGAGGACAGACATCTGCAGAACACGCCACCCAGCAATCGCAGGATGCAGGTTCTTTTCACGTGCCCGGGAAGACAGACATCTGCAGAACTCTCCACCCAGCAACCGCAGCATGCACATTCTCACATGCCCGGGAGGACAGACATCTGCAGAACTCTCCACCCAGCAACCGCAGGACGCACGTTCTTCTCACGTGCCCGGGAGGACAGGCATCTGCAGAACATGCCACCCAGCAATCGCAGGATGCAGGTTCTTTTCACGTGCCCGGGAGGACAGACATCTGCAGAACTCTCCACCCAGCAACCGCAGGACGCACGTTCTTCTCACGTGCCCGGGAGGACAGGCATCTGCAGAACACGCCACCCAGCAATCGCAGGATGCAGGTTCTTTTCACGTGCCCGGGAGGACAGATATCTGCAGAACTCTCCACCCAGCAACCGCAGCATTCACGTTCTTCTCACATGCCTGGGAGGACAGACACCTGCAGAACATGCCACCCAGCAGCTGCAGGATGCACGTTCTTCTCACATGCCTGGGAGGACAGACATCTGCAGAACTCTCCACCCAGCAACCACAGCATGCACGTTCTTCTCAAGTGCCTGGGAGGACAGACATCTGCAGAACTCTCCACCCAGCAACCACAGCATGCACGTTCTTCTCAAGTGCCTGGGAGGACAGACATCTGCAGAACTCTCCACCCAGCAACCGCAGGATGCACGTTCTTCTCAAGTGCCCGGGAGGACAGACATCTGCAGAACTCTCCACCCAGCAACTGCAGGATGCACGTTCTTCTCACGTGCCCGGCAGGACAGACATCTGCAGAACACGCCACCCAGCAACCACAGGACGCACGTTCTTCTCACGTGCCCGGGAGGTGTTCTCTGGGAGAGGCCATATGTTAGGCCGTAAAACAAGACTCGGTAATTTTTCTGGTCTTGCTCTGTTTCCCAGGCTGGAGTGCAGTGGCATGATCACGGCTCACTGCAGCCTCAACCCCCCAGGCTCTGGTAGTCCCCCACCTCAGTTCCCAGAAGTAGCTGAGACGGCAGATACGTGCCTTCACGCCTGACTGATTTTTGTTAAGATGAAGTCTCTCTCTGTTACCCAGACTGGAGTGCAGCGGTGCAATCTTGGCAACCTCCGCCTCCTGGGTGCAAGTGATTCTCATGCCTCAGCCTCCTGAGTAGCTGGGATTACAGGTTTGCACCACCAGGCTCAGCTAAGTTTTGTATTTTTGGAGGAGATGGGGTTTTGCTATGTTGGCCAGGCTGGTCTCAAACTCCTGGCCTCAAGCGATCCGCCTGCCTCGGCCTCTCAAAGTGTTAGGATTACAGGCATGAACCACCGCACCTGGCCTTAATAAATTTAAAAGGATTCAAGTCATACAAAGTACGTTCTCTAACTGTAGTAGAATGAAGTTAGATATCAATAAAGGAAATTTGGGAATTCACAAATGTCCAAAGTGAACACACTCCTAAATAACCAATGGGTTGGCTGGGCATGGTGGCTCACGCCTGCAATCCCAGCACTTTGGGATGCCGAGGCAGGTGGATCACCTGAGGTCAGGAGTTCGAAACCAGCCTGGCCAGCATTGTGAAATCCCGTCTGTATTAAAAATACAAAAAATTAGCTGGTGTGGTGGCAGGCGCCTGTAATCCTAGCTACTCAGGAGGCTGAGGCAGGAGAATCGCTTGAACTCAGGAGGCAGAGGTTGCAGTGAGCTGAGATCACAGCATTGCACTCCAGCCTGGGCAACAAGAGTGAGACTCTGTCTCAAAACAAACAAACACAAACAAACAAACACCAATGGGTCAAAGAAGAAATTAGGCCAGGTGCGGTGGCTCATGCCTGTAATCTCAACACTTTGGGAGGCCAAGGTAGGAGGGCTGCTTGAGTCCGGGAGTTTGAGACCAGCCTGGACAATATAGCAAGACCCTGTCTCTAAAAAGAAGAAGAAGAAATCACAGAGAAATTAGAAAGTAGGTTGAGATGAATGAAAATGAAAATATAACCTATCAAAACCTATAAAATGTATAGCTGTAAGAACCTCTGTTAAAAAAGAAGAAAAACTTCAAATAAATAATCTTCCACCTTAAGAAACTAGAAAAAGAACAGCAAACTAAACCCAAAGCAAGCAAAAGGAAAGAAATAATAGAGATTAGAGCTGAAAAATGAAATCGTGAATAAAAATACCACTTATTATATGATTCTGTTTATATGAAATGTCCAGATTATGCAAATTAATAAGACAGAAAGCAGATTCGTGACTTCTGGGGACTGTGGAGAAGGGAGGAATGGGAGGGAGTGGCTGCTAATGGGCTTCTTTCTTTCTTTTTTTGAGATGGCATCTCGCTCTGTCACCCAGGCTGAGCGCAGTGGCGCAATCTCGGCTCACTGCAAGCTCCACCTCCCGGGTTCACGCCTTTCTCCTGCCTCAGCCTCCCGAGTAGCTGGGATTACAGGTGACCGCCACCGTGCCTGGCTAATTTTTTGTACTTTTAGTAGAGACAGGGTTTCACCATATTGGCCAGGCTGGTCTCGAACTCCTGACCTCAGGTGATCCTTCCGCCTCGGCCTCCTGAAGTGCTGGGATTACAGGCGTGAGCCACTGTGCCCGGCTGCTGATGGGTTTCTTTGTGGAGTGATGAAAATGTTCTAGAATTAGGTAGCGGTAATGGTGGCACAACCCTGTGACTGTACCAAAAAACCACCGAATTGTAAACTTTGAAAAGGTACATTTTGTGGTTTGTGAATTCTATCTCAATAATGATGTTGACAAAATGAATTTTAAAGAGTTAATTAGGCAAAAGGGGTTGTGGGGAAAGAGTTGGGGGAAGCATTTCCCAGGCAGAAGAATCAGGGTTCCTGGCCCCCAGGGGAAAGCGCGCGGCGTGGAAAGGAAACCTCAGGCCCCTGGGGGGAGGATTTCGCTTGTATCATCAGAACAGTAGGAAGCCACTGGGGCAGTTTCAGGCTGGCAGTTCCGTGACAGGGCTGATGCTTTGTTTTTTATTTTTATTTATTTCTTTTTTAAATGCGCGTTACCTGGCAAGGGCTGACATTTTGGGGAGCTCACTGTGGGGATAGTGAGGAGAAGAGACCAGGGAGGGCCGGGAGTGGATTTGAGGAGGTATCGGCAGCAGCCCAGATGGAGGAGATTACGCTTCGGGAGGTTTATTCAAGGTCACTGTGCTAGATGGACCCGGACCTGGGTCCCTCTGCCACCGAAACCTTTGTTCTCCCCCGGCCACTGATTTGAATACTCCCAGGTATTCTCAGTCAGCTCAGCGTGGCGTGAGGTGGTTTTGCTGGATGGAAGGGTGGTGGGAAAGTGGACATGATATTAATCAGGCCAGCTAGGACTTGCGGCTCACTGGGGCTGGTTGCAAACAGCAGAGGCTGGACAAAAAGGGAACTTTACTGCCAAGGCCCTGGAGTATCTCATAGAAGCTGAGGAAGATTTCAACGCTCAGGCCCCTGGAGGGGCTGAATGGAGCACAAATGCTAGAGGGAGGGGCCCCTCTCTCTGTCCTGCTTCAGCTCCATGTTGGCTCCCCTCTTCTCGGTCTCACTGCAGGCCACCTTTCCGTTTCTGTCAACTGGACATTTCCATGAGGGGAAAATGGCCTCAGCCTCAGTGTGCATCTTACTGCAAAAGGCAGTTGAGTTGAGACTCCGTCTCTTACCCCATTTCCCAGATTCTTTTTGCTTTTTGTCTGTCTATCTGTCATCTATCTATGAAACTCTATGTATATATCCCTGTGTATATCTATCTGTCCGTCCGTCCATCCATCCATCCATCTATCTATCTATGAATGAGACTCATTGCAGCTTCGACCTCCCAGGCTAAAGTGATTCTCCTGCTTCAGTCTCCAGAGTAGCTAGGACCACACGTGTGCACCACCATACCCGGCTACACACCACCAAACCTGGCTACACGCCACCACACCCGGCCACACGCCACCACGCCCGGCCACATGCCACCACGCCCGGCCACATGCCACCACGCCCGGCCACATGCCACCACGCCCGGCCACACGCCACCACACCCGGCCACACACCACCACATCCGGCTGTTTTTTTTTTTTTTTTTTTTTTTTTTGAGACGGAGTCTCGCTCTGTCGCCCAGGCCGGACTGCGGACTGCAGTGGCGCAATCTCGGCTCACTGCAAGCTCCGCTTCCCGGGTTCACGCCATTCTCCTGCCTCAGCCTCCCGAGTAGCTGGGACTACAGGCGCCCGCCACCGCGCCCGGCTAATTTTTTGTATTTTTAGTAGAGACGGGGTTTCACCTTGTTAGCCAGGATGGTCTCGATCTCCTGACCTCATGATCTACCCGCCTCGGCCTCCCAAAGTGCTGGGATTACAGGCGTGAGCCACCGCGCCCGGCCCCGGCTGTTTTTTTTAAATTTTTAGTAGACAAGGCTCTACTGTGTCTCACTGTGTTGCCCAGGCTCGTCTTGAAGTCCTGAGCTCAAGTGATCCTATCTCAGCCTGCCAAAGTGCTAGGATTACAGGTGTGGGCCACTACTCCTGGCCTTACTTTTTTAAAATTTAATTTATTTTTTAAATTTTTCAAGAAAGAGTCTCGCTCTGTTGCGCAGGCTGGAGTGCAGTGGTATGATCATAGCTCGCTGCAGCCCCAAACTCCCGGACTCAAACGATCCTCTCACCTCAGCCTCCCAAATCACTGGGATTACAGGCGTGAGCCACCATGCCTGACCTATGTTTATTTTTTTGTAGAAATGGGGTTTGACTATGTTGCCCAGGCTGATCTCGAACTCCTGACCTCTAAGCAATCCTCCTTCCTCGGCCTCCCGCAGTGTTGTGATTACAGGAGTGAGCCACCGCACCCAGCCTTATTTCCCGGATTCTTAAGGGAGGGACCTTGATGTGCCAGTTTGGCTTAGGTGCTCCCCTGGAAGAGCCAGCTGTGCCCCAGGGGACTGGCCGCAGTGTAAACTCAGGGCCTCCGGAGCCCACCCCTGAAGGTGGCTGGACAGCTACAGGAAGGCCAGGGAGGGAAGGAAGGTCGTTGATGGCTGGCGAGGTCAGCTATGGAGGGGAAGGGACATCGTTGATGTGTGGCGAGGTTACCTGTATTCAAAGTCCCCTCCCATTTTCTTCGGATAACCTGCTGCCTGGGATCCGTCGGCCTCTAGGAATAAACCACATGAGACCCTATTTGGTCACTTTGTGTCCGGAATTGGTGGGTTCTTGGTCTCACTGACTTCAAGAATGAAGCCGCAGACCCTCGCGGTGAGTGTTACAGCTCTTCAGGTGGCGCGTCTGGAGTCTGTCCCTTCTGATGTTCAGATGTGTTCGGAGTTTCTTCCCTCTGGTGGGTTCGTGGTCTCGCTGGGCTCAGGAGTGAAGCTGCAGATCTTCGCGGTGAGTGTTACAGCTCATAAAAGCAGCGTGGACCCAAAGAGTGAGCAGTAGCAAGACTTATTGCAAAGAGTGAAAGAACAAAGCCTCCACAGTGTGGAAGGGGACCGGAGCTGGTTGCCAATGCTGGCTCGGACAGCCTGCTTTTATTCTCTTATCTGGCCCCACCTACATCCTGCTGATTGGTAGAGCCAAGCGGCCTGTTTTGTCAGGGTGCTGATTGGTGCGTTTACAATCCCTGAGCTAGATACAAAGGTTCTCCACTCCCCATCAGATTAGTTAGATACAGAGTTTCCACACACAGGTTCTCCAAGGCCCCACCAGAGCAGCTAGATACAGAGTGTCGATTGGTGCATTCACAAACCTTGAGCTAAACACAGGGTGCTGATTGGTGTGTTTACAAACCTTGAGCTAGACATAAAGACTCTCCACCTCCCCACCAGACTGAGGAGCCCAGCTGGCTTCACCTAGTGGATCCCGCACCGGGGCTGCAGGTGGAGCTGCCTGCCAGTCCTGCGCCGTGCACTCGCATTCCTCAGCCCTTGGGTGGTCGTTGGGACTGGGCGCTGTGGAGCAGGGGGTGGCGCTCGTCGGGGAGGCTCGGGCCGCACAGGAGCCCATGGAGTGGGTGGGAGGCTCAGGCATGGCGGGCTGCAGGTCCCGAGCCCTGCCCCGTGGGAAGGCAGCCAAGGCCCGGCGAGAAATCGAGCGCAGCGCCGGTGGGCTGGCACTGCTGGGGGACTCAGTACACCCTCTGCAGCCGCTGGCCCGGGTGCTAAGTTCCCCATTGTCCGGGGCCAGCAGGGCTGACTCGCTGCTCCGAGTGCGGGGCCCGCCAAGCCCACGCCCACCCGGAACTCCAGCTGGCCCGCAAGCGCCGCACACAGCCCCGGTTCCCACTGGTGCCTCTCCCTCCACACCTCCCTGCAAGCTGAGGGAGTGGGCTCCAGCCTTGGCCAGCCCAGAAAGGGGCTCCCACAGTGCAGCGGAGGGCCGAAGGGCTCCTCAAGTGTCACCAAAGTGGGAGCCCAGGCAGGGGAGGTGCCGAGAGCAAGCGAGGGCTCTGAGGACTGCCAGCACGCTGTCACCTCTCAACTTGAACTGATTGGCAAACTCAGCCCTTCGACTGTGTATCACCCCTCCTTTTTTTTGCCTTCAATTTCAGCACTTGACTGGGCAGGGAACATTCCAGAATTTAGTGTTAATCTTACTAGCTTTGTGAATTCCGTCACTTCCCCCAGAAAAGAAAGGACGGTCCATGCCGCCTGACAAACTTGCTGAAAAGGATTCTTGTTATTGTCATTGACTCACTTTCTCCTGTGATTTAAAACCCAGTGGTGCGGATTCAGGTGCCTGGAAACCCTGGTGACTGTACATGGGCCTGTGATGGGGGACAGGAGATGTCTGTGAGGTCATGTGGGAGGCACACGCAGGGGTCAGGTCTGTGAGGTCATGTGGGAGGAACACGCAGGGGTCAGGTCTGTGAGGTCATGTGGGAGGAACACGCAGGGGTCAGGTCTGTGAGGTCATGTGGGAGGAACACGCAGGGGTCAGGTCTGTGAGGTCATGTGGGAGGAACACGCTGGGGTCAGGTCTGTGAGGTCATGTGGGAGGAACACGTTGGGGTCAGGTCTGTGAGGTCATGTGGGAGGAACACGCTGGGGTCAGGTCTGTGAGGTCATGTGGGAGGAACACGCTGGGGTCAGGTCTGTGAGGTCATGTGGGAGGAACACGCTGGGGTCAGGTCTGTGAGGTCATGTGGGAGGCACACGCAGGCGTCAGGTCTGTGAGGTCATGTGGGAGGCACACGGAGGGGTCACCTGCCCCAGCGCCCCACGGTTTCCAGCCTTGGCCTGTCCTCTTTCACCTGGCCCACGGGTGATGCGTGCTGTGCTGGCCTTTCTGCAGGGGACAGTGCGGTCAGGGGACTGCTGTGGGCTGTCAGAGCCCCAGCCCTTTGCTCCATACCAGGGCAGCCGTTTCCAGTCCTGAGGGTTTTTGCGACTGATCCTGGCTGGGACTTGCTTCTTACTAGGAGAAGCAAGAGATCCAAGTCCTTCAGTCAGACGCTGCTCTCAGACATCAGAGGGGCAGGACACTGAATGCAGATGTGGGTTCTGAGGGCTCCTTTCTCTTTGAATTCCTGCAGCATTTAGTAGGAGGCCGTGCGGCTTGGTGTCTTATTATTTATCGTTGAACGCGGGCTGCCTGGAGTGTTGTCTCCAATGCTAATAATGAGGCCAGTGTCGTGCGTGAGGCTGGTGTTGACGGCGCTGTCAGGAACCTCCCATGTAATTTCTGTTACCACCAGGGGAAGTGAGCAGCGCAGATTAGATGATAGACATTTAATAATTGATAAAGCCTCAGATTGGCCGGGGTAAGGACTTGCGGGGATGTGTGTGTGTGTAACTTGTTTCCCTTCACAGTCATGTAGCTGGTCCGAGCTGGGACTGAGAGCCTGGCTTCTGATCTCTAACTCCAGACTCTGTTCATGACAGAATGCAGCTAACTGTATTCTGAATTCTTTGAGCAAAGTTGTCTCATTCTGCGTTGGTATTTCCTGTCTGTCATTTATTCATCTATCCATTTATTCCTCTATCTTGTTCCATAAATGAATTGAGGGTGCTTACAAGAATATATGTATATCTCTCTATATATTTTATTTATATAAGAAATATAAAGGCTGGGTGCAGTGGCTCGTGCCTGTAATCCCAGCACTTTGGGAAGCTGAGGCAAGAGGATTGCCTGAGCCCAGGAGTTCAAGACCAGCGTAGGCAACATAGTGAGACCCTGTCTCTGAAAAAAAAAAAAGGGAGAAGAAATATAAAAAATAAATATAAAAAGACATGTTAATGGCTGGGCATGGTGGCTCGTGCCTGTAATCCCAGCACTTTGTGGGGGGCAGGGCAGGCAGATCGCTTCAGTCCAGGAGTTTCAGCCAAGCCTGGGCAACATAGTGAGACCCTGTCTCTATTTTTTAAAGTAAGATATATTCATAATATATCTATATATCTAAAAGATACATTCATAGAAAAAAAGTAAAGTAGGTATTACATACCAGACCTATATGTAGATATTTTATATTTATATATGTATGTATGTCTGTTTATATATGTCTATACATATATGTGTGTATGTATATGGACATGTAACTAAATAGAGATCAAAAAAATAAGATCAGGAAAGACATAGATGTAGATTAGCTAGAAGGTTGAAAGCAGGGGGAGAGTTAGACCCCCTATTCAGGCCATCGAGCTGTATATACTTTGCTGTGTTTGAACCACACATTTAGCTCTGAGCTAATGAGCAGTCAAAGCAGGAAAAAAAAATCAGTGACGTGGTTCACGTGGCCCATAAGGAAAGGGCACCAGATACTGAATGCTCGTCCAGGCAATTAGACCTGAAGGAGATTTCTTGCCTGAGTGGTCATTTGCGGAGCCCTGGGTGACAAGGAAAATACGTGGCAAATGTGCCTCTCTGTCTTCTGCCGTCCCCTGGCAGACGCCACCAGTCGATCAGGGCTCTTTCCCACCGAGCCCAGGGGCGGCCTCGCTGCGCTTCCATGCGTGGTGCTCCGGGGCTGGAGTCTGCAGGCGAGACAAAACCCGCTTGCTGTCCAGCCCGAGGGCCGCTGGTGGTGTCAGGGAGGCCATGAGGGGTTCTGAGCGGAGAGCCCCTTGAGTCCTGGTAAGCGCCTCTGCGAGGGTGACACAGGTGGGCCCTGTAGCAGGCGTGTGGGCTGGGAAACGCGTCTGGGTGCCAGTCGGAGTGACCCACAGGGTGATGAGGGTGGGGAAGTTGTGTCTGGAGCGACACGGGGCACGCGCTTGGGATTTCTGGCTTGTTAGCCACTCATTTGTTCCACGCATGTTTAGCAAACACCGATTTTGTGTCTGGAAAGCGTGCCCGACTCACTCCGCTCACACCTCTGGCCTCAGAGTCTCCTCCCCCAGCTCCTCTGTCCGCACGGACACTCGCCTCTCACATCACCTACACCTTTCTATCCCAGCCTATATCGCCGCTTATCCTGACGTGTTTACTAATGTTTATTTGCTTCGTGTTTTGTTTTTGTTGTTTCTCTCCAAGATGGGAGTTCCAGGGTGGCAGGGACAGTGTCTGTCTTGCTCATCATTGTGTCCCCAGTCCTAGCATGGGGTCTGGCACATAGTAGGTGCTCAATTAGTATTTGTGGAATGAATGAATAAAAGAATAAAAAGGTTACAGAGATGAGCCCAGTAGAAGATAAGCACATAAACAAATACAGCATAAGCTCAGTACGAAGGAGAGGGACAAGTAAATAGTTAAAGGACTTCGGGGTGGGAGAGGCTCCTTCCAGGAGGATGAGGAGGTCCAGAAAGGCCTCCTGGTGGAGGACATTTGCTGGGTCCAGAAGGATGAGGTGGAGGGAGGGGCACCTGGGGCCCTGGGGATAGCAGGAGCAAAGGCAGAGGCAGACCTGGAGGGGAGAAAAACCAGATTTTACTTGGGGTGCTCCTAGGGCGGTGGCGGGGAGGAGCAGCCACCCAGGAAGGGTGGATCTGAGGCAGCTGCGGGAGCTCTGCACAGCAGGCTGACTGGGCAGGAGGCGGAGAAGCAGATACGAGTGGAGTGCAGGGGGAGAGGGGCCTTAGGCAGGCAAGGCAGGAAAGAGAAGAGCTAGGGGAACTGGGCAGGCCCAAGTGTGGCCCGGGGGTGGTGGAGGCAATACCCGGGGAGAATGCACAGCCTTTACTCCCTGACTGCGTTTATATTCTGCCTCTCCCGTGCCTGTTGGTCCTTGGGGACGGCCCTCCGGCAGGTTCTGGCCTCAGGACCCCGCACCAGCCCCGGCCGTGCCAGCTGCCCTCCCACTGGCCTGGCCCAGCTCTCCAGAGAGGCTTCATGCAGCCAGTTCCCCAGGGAACACCGTTGCCCACACGTTGCTAATGTTAAAACATGAATTTATTGCATCTGTAGCATCTTACCTTGAGCACGGCTTCTTTCAATGCTTTTATTTTGCAATTATAGGTTTATTTTCTTCCTTTCCTCTCTCTTGAGCTTTTTAAGGTGTTTTCTGTCACTCAGCTGGAGACTTTAAATTTCCTATTTATATTAATTATCAAATTATTTCATATATGAGTCATTCAGCTCAGCCCTTTTTGGCTCCTTCTTGCAACTCTTACTTGTGGATTTATTGGGCAGTTCAGCGCCTACTTTCATGGGCAGACTCAACTGGCGAGATTTTAACTGGAGGGTGAGAGATGTCCTGGCCACGGGGCCCTGTTGCTCACAGTCCCTGGATCAGAGGATGGTGCCGGATGGGCAGGTGCTGAGGATGCACATACCGCCCTCGGGTTAGCACCGAAGGTTCTTGTGTCAGACGTGAGGCTTCCTTCCTGGGTTCTTTCTGGCTGCGCTAGTCCAGAAGACCAGCAAACCCGAGATGGTCTGAGGTGGACGATGGAGCCTGAATGGAGAGCCTGGGGCGTGAGCCAGGGTCTGGGATACCCTGGGACAGAGTTAGATGCCCCTGCAGACGTGGATGAGCGGCTGAAGACTAAGGGAGCAGGTCACACGTGGTGACAGACAGGAGAGGCTGCTGTGCCATCCAGGGGCTGGGGAAGGAGCCCCCGTGGAGAGGCTCCATTTCGGCCACGTGGCTGCTGCAGACAACCGGGAGTCAGCGTCGGCACAAACACGGGTGCCTCGAAAGAGAGCAGTGCCGGCCTGGTGTCTCCGGGCCCAGCTGCCACTGGCACAGGCCTCCGAAGGGGCAGGAGCAGGAGCAGGAGCAGAAAGCGCACATCAGGGCTCATGCTGTGCCTGTGAAGATGTCGGGCACGTCCGTTAGTGTGTGTGGTGCGCGGTCGCCTGTGAAGACGACTGTTAGTGTGTGTGGTGCGTGGTCGCCTGTGAAGACGACTGTTAGTATGTGTGGTCTACGGTCGCCTGTGAAGACGACTGTTAGTATCTGTGGTGCGCGGTCGCCTGTGAAGACGACTGTTAGTATGTGTGGTCTATGGTCGCCTGTGAAGACGACTGTTAGTATCTGTGGTGCGCGGTCGCCTGTGAAGACGACTGTTAGTAAGTGTGGTGCGCGGTCGCCTGTGAAGACGACTGTTAGTAAGTGTGGTGCGCGGTCGCCTGTGAAGACGTCTGTTAGTAAGTGTGGTGCGCGGTCGCCTGTGAAGACGACTGTTAGTAAGTGTGGTGCGCGGTCGCCTGTGAAGACGACTGTTAGTAAGTGTGGTGCGCGGTCGCCTGTGAAGACGACTGTTAGTGTGGTGCGCGGTCGCCTGTGAAGACGACTGTTAGTAAGTGTGGTGCGCGGTCGCCTGTGAAGACGACTGTTAGTAAGTGTGGTGCGCGGTCGCCTGTGAAGACGTCTGTTAGTAAGTGTGGTGCGCGGTCGCCTGTGAAGACGACTGTTAGTATGTGTGGTGCGCGGTCGCCTGTGAAGACGACTGTTAGTATGTGTGGTGCGCGGTCGCCTGTGAAGACGACTGTTAGCAAGTGTGGTGCGCGGTCGTCTGTGAAGACGACTGTTAGCAAGTGTGGTGCGCGGTCGCCTGTGAAGACGACTGTTAGCAAGTGTGGTGCGCGGTCGCCTGTGAAGACGACTGTTAGCAAGTGTGGTGCGCGGTCGCCTGTGAAGACGACTGTTAGTATGTGTGGTGCACGGTCGCCTGTGAAGATGTCTTTTAGTAAGTGTGGTGCACGGTCGCCTGTGAAGACGACTGTTAGTATGTGTGGTGCACGGTCGCCTGTGAAGACGACTGTTAGTAAGTGTGGTGCGCGGTCGCCTGTGAAGACGACTGTTAGTAAGTGTGGTGCGCGGTCGCCTGTGAAGATGACTGTTAGTAAGTGTGGTGCACGGTCACACCTTCCCACACAGTGCAGGTGACTTACTCAGGGCTCTGGATGGCAAATGACAAGGACCCAATTCAAACTAGCATAAGCAAAAAGGCAGCTCTGTGGGCCTGGCACCTGGGGATCAAAACAGTCGTTCAGGCACGGCTGGATCCAGCCATTGACCATGGGTATGAGGTGACTCACCTTCATCTCTCAGCTCTGTTTAGCTGCACCGGCAGACAGGCCGTTTCAAGGGGGAGCCAGGTGGCTACTGGCCATCGTGAGCTAGTGCCGTGCTTACCGTCCCAGACAGTGGGTTTATTGCACAGGAACTCTGGCAAGACCCCAGGAGGACTCAGTATGGCTGGGTCTGGGTCACATGCCCAGCCCTGAGCCAATTACCCTGCCTTGGGGGTGGGGCTATTCTAATTGGTCATCCTCATCACATTCACCCAGGAAGAAGGGGAAGGAGGGGCTGTTTCTCTTGCCCAGGAAGACTGGGCGTGACTACTTTGACCTGAAGAGTTATTCTCAAAAAGGAAAGGAATGCTGGGTAGACAAAATATATGCCCATTGCAGAAGGCCAGCAGGGGCCCCTGGCCTTCGCTTTGCTAAAGGTGGCAGGTGCACAGCTGTCCGGACCCTGGAGCTCAGTGTGAGGAGTGTAAAGGTGTAGAAGGTGCCGTCTGTGCAGCAGTGTGGCGGCGTTCTGCCTTTCTCAGCTGAATGGAAGACAAACACTCAGGCCTCTTCACACCTTCGTGACTGGTCCCCCCTGGACCTTTGCGCAGAGCTGGCCTTTCCATGAAGCAAACTCTGGGCACATGTGGAAACCAGCCTCTTGCTGCCATGCCTGCCCCAGGGACTGACCAGGGTCGGCTCCAGTCACTGACATAGTTTATCACATCTCTTTGGCCTCTGGTCTCTGGATCCACACCTCTGGCTCTGACGTCTGCATCGAGCCCCTGTCCCTGCTGGGTTCAAGTCTCTTTTCCAGAAGCTTCACTTGGCTCGAGGCTCCACTTGATTTGGTGTCATTTGCGTTTCTGAGCTTGGTCCTCCCGACCTGTGGTCCTGCCAGGGGAAGAGCAGCGTGGCCTGGCTGGACCCTGGCAAAGGAGGCTTCTCTTCTGCATTTCTTCTACACGGAGTGCATGAGCAGGACAAAGACCAGCTGATTCCTGCAGGCCTGGGGCTGTGGTGTGCGGGTCTCCCACAGGCCTTGGTATGTGTGTGGTGTGTGGTCCCGCACACTCAGAGATGGCTTCCAGCACATTCCACACTTTCTTTCTTTCTTTCTTTTTTTTTTGAGTCGGAGTCTCGCTCTGTTGCCCAGGCTGGAGTGCAGTGGCGCGATCTCGGCTCACTGCAAGCTCCGCCTTCCGGGTTCAAGCGATTCTCCTGCCTCAGCCTCCCGAGTAGTTGGGACGACAGTTGCCCACGACCATGTCTGGCCAAGCCTCAGCCTTCCCAAGTGCTAGGGTTACAGGCGTGAGCCACTATGCCTGGCCTACCCATGAATTTTATTTTATTTTTTAAATTTTAAGGCGAGGTCTCACTCTGTCACCTAGGCTGGAGTACGGTGGCTAGATCATGGCTCACAGCAGCCTCAAACTCCTAGACTCCAGCCACCCTCCCACCTCAGCCTCCTGAATGGCTGGGGCTACAGACATTTGCCACCACACCTGGCTAATTTTTGTATTTTCAGTAGAGATGGGTTTTTACTATGTTGGCCAGGCTGGTCTCGAACTCCTGACCTTAGGTGATCCACCCGCCTCGGCCTCTGGAGTAGCTGGGGTTACAGGAGTGAGCCACCGTGCCAGTCCTCCTTCCACCCTTTCATATAACCAGCAGCGCATATCAGCACTTCTCAACATCTTTACTGCAGGACCTTTTCTTCAAATGAAGTCTTACCTGGAAGCCTGACAGATGACGAGGAAAAAGCTGAGTTGCTCTGGGTTGGGCTGTAATAACCCCCTTGTTCCCAGCCCCCTGCTTCTGCTTGCACGGTCCTGAAGAGGGGCTCCACACCCCTGGCTCCTTGGAACCCAGTTTGTTGGGTTATAATAACCGGCCTTGTTCCCAGCCCCCTGCTTCGCCTGTACAGTCCTGAAGAGGGTCTCCACACCCCTGGCTCCTTGGAACCCAGTTTGAGAGCCTCTTGGCAATTATATCCATCTGTCTGTCTCTCTTGTGGTAGCACCTGCTGCTGCTCCCCATGGGGAAAGGTTGCTGATGGTGTTTATTTTTTTTTTAAGCATGAAAACATTTTCTTTTTTCTATCAGTAGCTTGTTTGCACTATGAAAAGGTCAACAGAGAGATCCTTGTCATCTTCCTTCTCCCTGCAGGAGGGTGTCAGGGTGTAAGTGCTCCCTCGCTGTGCAGGGGTTCATTTCATTCATTTCATTACCCTTGCCCTCCTCGAGGTACCTCCGGGAAGCTGTTCCATTTACACATCTGTCAAGTTCTCTGTGCGTCAATTTGCCTTGCTCCTGAAGAGCCACACCCAAAAGGGGCCCCACTCCAGGCAGCGGGGCTTCAGGAAGCGATGAGATGCTGACGCAGGCCCCGTGCACCACCACTGCTGCCTGTAAGGGCTGTTTTGGATACAGAAAATGTGCCCTTTCTAACCCAAAAAATGCTTGAAATGTGTAAAAGTGGCCAGACTAACAGTCCCAAAGAGGGCTGCCCTCTAAGAGGAAGCGTCCCAAATCTGTTCAGTTTTAGAGACTACGTGACTGGGGTACGTGGTGGGGCCTTACCAGACATCCACGAGGAGAATCCAGGCCTTGGTTTGGCTCCAGCTGGGCCTGCCTGGTGGCTGCCACTTATTGACTTAAGTCCCAGTGATTCAGCTCCTCATCTGGAACACCTCGGGTCACCCCCGACAACGGTGGTGGGAGGGAGAGCGGCCTCCTCCTCCCTGGTGGGGCCTGTCTGGGTGAAGCCCCTCTGTTCCCGGTAGGTGTTTCGGGGTCTCATGGCTCCAAGGACATTGGAAGATGCCTCTGTTTTCCTGGAGTCAGGGGCCCAGTTCATGCAGGGGTTTTCACAGAACTTTGCTAACTTCCGGGGAAAAGGTTTGTGTCTTTGCTGGGAGAGCGTCTGGTTAATCGTTGACTGGAAACTTGCTTTTCCAGGCTGCCCCAGGTCCTGCTGCTTCTAAAGAAGAGGCAGCCGGGGCTGGAGAACAGCCTCGTGCCGCAGGTCCTGCTGCTTCTAAAGAAGAGGCAGCCGGGGCTGGAGAACAGCCTCATGCCCCGCTGGTGCCTCCGTTGCTCTTTCTGTGTGGTCCTTTGAAACACCCCAGTGGACAGAGATGGATTTGGGGGAGTGGGGCAGAGGGGTTGTGCGCTAGCAGCAGATGGGCCTGGGGTCAGGCAGAGAATGGGGGCCACGCATCGGAGCAGACCAGAGCGTGCTGTTGGAGAGCTGTTTGTATTGCGTGTTATGCTGCGTGCAAGACTGGCTCAGGGGCTGCAGCAGGCTCTGTGCTCCCTACCCTGGGATACTCACATTTGGTGACAAGTCCCCAGATAACTGTGAGATGGGGCCGAAAAACCCAGGGGCCACAAAGAAAGCAGAACATAAAGTGCCAAGGCCACGCGTCTTAGAGCAGGAGGGGATTTTTGAAGATTTTGGAAGGCCGCGTGGCCAGTTGACTTGGTCAGGAGCAGTTGAAGTTGTCAGGATGTAAGCACGGCCTGTACGCACATGCAGGGGCCCGTTTCGGGACCCTTGTCCCTCGAGGTGCTGTTCCATTTACAACCTGTATATAGGTTTACCTCGTCAGGCACATGGACAAGCATTTAAAAATGTTTTCCTGATGATTTATTTTCATGTGTATTAGAGCATAACTTGTTTTTTTTCATCTGCCTTCTATTTGTGGCATATGGCATGGTTTTTCTATTTATGGTGGAGATATACAGTTTCCTTTGAAAATAAATTTGTTCAAGTAAAAGAGTGGGTTGATTTAAAGGGAAATATTAAGTAAAGAATCGTACGGGAGCCACGTGGGGATGGCTGGTGGCGTGTGGAGGCCTGTGCTTTGGAAATTGCATGCTGGAGGAATTCAGAGACAAGAAAAAGAGAGGCTCATGGAAGAGACAGGCGGGGTGCAGGAGGAGTGAGACTCAGCTAGGTGGAGATGGGAGGTGGGTCTGTACTTACAGGTCCAGACATGTGGGTACGATTCTTGGTGTAATCTATTTTGGTTGCAGCAGGTGAGTCCTGTAGGGAACAGAGGGTAGGTGTGGGACTATATTGTGGAGGACCGTCAGTCTCAGGGTGTGGCCTCTGAACTTTTCAGGAGGCAGTGGGAGCTATTGAGGGTGCTTGAGGAGGGGAGTGTTTCTTGACAGTCCTTGAAGAGTCTCGTTTATGTGTAGTGGATACCAGGACTGGAGGCAGATGACCAGTTAAGGGCCCAGGTAAAGAGGGTTTAAGAAGCCAAACTAGGGCCATAGCCAAGGACAAGCAACCCAGCCACCCAGGACATCTCTTACTGGCTTGGGGGGCAGCCTAGAGACGTTGGAGAGAGGTAGGTCGGAGGTGGACAAGCTGAGCCTTGGCCCTCTGTGGGGAGGCCGTGGGTGATGGGCAGGGGTACAGTTCAGAAGTTGTACATGGAGTCCTAGAAGGGGGGAGCATCTTCTCCTGGCTGGGCTGGGAGGAGATGCTAAGAGCTACTCAGTGACCTCTTCCTGGAGTCTCCTGGCCTATCATGGAATGTTCTGGAATGTTGTCGGGGAAGTGGGTGCGGCCAGCTGAAGGAAGCTCCTCTCTGGGCCAGAGTTCAGACAGGAGGAGGAAGCCTGCTGTTTCCTGCCCTATGGTTTGGCCCAGATGGCCTTGGCTGACAGCCCAGGCCAAGATTTCATCCATCATCAGGGCCTGCGGTCAGAGGGTCACAGTTTTTTTAATTCCCATTTCATCCTTTTAGTGCAGAGAAGTTCACCAGCATTCAGGGACCAGCTTGGTTTAAAAAACGGGTTTGTTTTGTTTTGTTTTGTGAGGGCCTGCTAGGTACCAGATACTGTGTTTGGAACTTTTTTTTCTTTTTTTGAGATGGGGTCTTGCTCTGTCACCAGCTAGAGTGCACTGGTGCGATCTCGGCTCACTGCAACCTCCGCCTCCTCGGTTCAAGCGATTCCCCTGCCTCAGCCTCCTGAGTAGCTGGGATTACAGGCATGCACCACCATGCCCAGCTAATTTTTGTATTTTTAGTGGAGATGGTGTTTCACCCATGTTGGCCAGGCTGGTCTTGATCTCTTGACCTCATGATCTGCCCACCTCGGCCTCCCAAAGTGCTTGGATTACAAGTGCGTG
The DNA here is from genome assembly GCF_000001405.40 of Homo sapiens. NCBI lineage: Eukaryota > Metazoa > Chordata > Mammalia > Primates > Hominidae > Homo > Homo sapiens. Next base: position 52,294 of record NT_187662.1, read on the forward strand.
CCACCACGTCCAGATAATTTTTGTATTTTTAGTAGAGATGAGGTTTAACTATGTTGGCCAGGCTGGTCTCAATGTTGTGATCCGTCTGCCTCAGCCTCCCAAAGTGCTAGGATTACAGGCGTGAGCCACCGCGCCCAGCCTGGAACTTTTACTCTGTTACCACAATTCACTCTGGAAAAAACCTGTTGAGGAATGCATTACTTATTACCTCTGTTGTACAGAGGAAGAAATGGAGTGTAGGGAAATGTAACAAGCCCCAAATTAAACCGCTGGTTAGCTGTAGAGTCCAATTGCAAACCTACACCTCTGAAAGGGAGATCGCATCTGCAGTAGTGAGACTGTGGACACACTATTTAACTTGGAGGAATCTAATTGGCCTCTGTGCTCCTCTGTGTGGGTGTGTGCTGTCCCTGTGGTGTGCTGGGCACAGCAGTAATATCAGGGTGCTGATGGCCCTCGATGGGATTGCAGTGGAGATTGTGAGTGATGATATAGATAAGGTGTTACAGAAATGTCAGCTGCTGCTGCTATTACTACATAAAACTAGAGTTGCATAATCCTGGACTCGATTTTACTGGAAGACATTTTTGGAAGGTTATGTCTTAAGGTGGAGGAGAAGCATTATTTTAATTAAATTGAATTAATTAGTTAATTTTTAACATTTATTTTTATTAAAAAGTTTTTTTATAGAGATGGGGTCTTGCTACATTGCCCAGGTTGGTCTCGAACTCCTGGCCTCAAGCAATCCTCCCACCTTGGCCTCCCAAAGTGTTGGGATTACAGGCATGGTCCACTGTGCCCAGTCATTTTAATTTTTGAAATAATCAATATGTGGTGGGATAGAACGTGCATTTAACCTTAGAGCCGTTTTGAGTTTGAGCTGGTAATTTCTGGGCACGCTCCTGGCCCCTGGATGTTGGGAGATGTGGGTGAAATGGGGAGGGTGTGTTCACTTTCCTCTCTTCTCAGCCTGACTTCAGTGAAAGCTCAAGGTGCACTTGGCTGTTTCTACAGCTTCGGAGTTCCCAGCTCTGCCCAAGTTGGTGCCAGCGAGCTGTGACCTCAGGGCAGTCACTAACCTGCCCAGGCGAGTTTCCCTCCTGCCCAATTACCCTAGTTCTCTGAGTGAGTTTCCTCTTCCTTTGTGGCACTTCTGGGAGGACCATTCTCTCCCTGGAATGCCGCCTTCTGCCTGCCAAGTCCCTCCTTTTCCCTCTGAGCCCTGCACCACATTCTTCTCTTTGAAGCCCTCCAGGACTGCCACAGAGCAAGATCTTCACTGCGCCTTCTCTTCACTCCCAGTGTTCTTTGCATGGCCTCAGCATTTATTGGAGCCGCTGTCTGATTCATTTTGGATTCATCTCGTGCACTGTGCAATATGCAGTGGCTCTTCAGAGCCAGCACAATGGAGGTGACCCTTCTCCCCGTGCACCTTCCAGAGATTAACACGTAAACAAAGAAATAAACACAGATTCCAACTGTGATGCATGTGGTGAAGAAAGAACTGGGGCCCAGTATTTGTTGACCTTTCAGTGTTCTGCACTCCCAAGGGAGGGCCACGTGGTGGGGATGGAACACAGGCATGGACAGTACGTACCTTCCTCCTTTAGCAAACAGGGATGATGGGCGCCTGTGATTAGTCCACACAAAAGCATTCGGGAGGGTATAACACTCAAATGTAATATTAGTGGCGTGGCAAGATTCTTCCGCATTGATGACCATTAGTGTGCTATTTTTGTTTTCTCTATGAAGAAGAAAATTAAAATTTTTTTCATTGCATTTGGTAGCACTTTACTTTTTTTTTTTTTTCTTGAACAGTGTTAGGTTTACAGAAAAAATTGAACAAAAAGTACAGAGTTCCCGTCTAACCTCTTACCTCTTTCAATTTCCCATGATTAACATCTTGCTTTGGTGAGGTACATTTGTTACAATAAATGTGGTAATACTGATACATTATTATTAACTGAAACGTGTAGTGTACACTTAGGGTTGGATCTTGGAGGTGTAGGTAGTGTGGACTTCAACCAATGTGTAAGGACATGTGGGGAGAATAATGGCTTTGCTGCCTTCAAAATCCCCTGCAATCCATGTCCTCATCCTTCCTGTTCCACGCCCAAATCCCTGGTCTTTTTACTGTCTCCATAGTTTGGCCTTTTCCAGAATGTCATAGATGTAGTTGGAACCCTGCAGTAAGTAGCCCTTTCAGACTGGTTTCCTTCCCTTTGCCAGCTCTGTTTTTTTTTTTTTTTTTAACTGCTCCTTGCAGAGAAGGGTTGCCCCATAGGCAGGGTGCCCAGAGTAGCCTCATTTTTCTTTTAATTAATTTAATTTTTTTTTTTTTGGTAGAGATGGGATTTCACTATTTTGCTCAGGCTGGCCTTGAACTCCTAGCCTCAAGTAATCCTTCCACCTCGGTCTCCTAAAATGCTGGGATTACAGGCATGAGCCATCCTGCCCAGCCTTACTAGCTCATTTTTTTTATCACTGAATTCTGTTCCATCGTATGAATATATGGTACCATATTTTGTTTATTCACCTGATGAAGGACATCTTGGTTGTGTCCAAGTTTTTGCAATTATGAATAAATATTTAGTCAACATGAGTGTGCCGGTTCTTGAATAGAGATAACTGTTCAGTTTATTTGCATAAATGTTCAGTTCATTTGCATATACCAAGGAATGTGATTGCTGGATCCTTTGGTAAGAGTATAGTCAACTTTGTAACAAACTACCTTCCAAAGTGGCTGGGCTGGTTTTTTTTTTGAACAGAGTCTTGCTCTGTCACCCAGGCTGGAGTGTGGTTGTACAGTCACGGCTCCCTGCCACCCTGAGCTCTGGGGCTCAAGCCATCCTCCCATCTCAGCCTCTCGAGGAGCTGGGACTGTGGGCATGTGCCCTCACGCCTGGCTAAACATGTTTTTATTTTTCATAGATACAAAGTCCCACTGTGCTACCCAGGTTGGCTGTACTGTTTTGCAGTGCTTGAGGGTTCCCTGTTGAAAATTTTTTATTTTTCATAGATACAGAGTCCCACTGTGCTGCCCAGGTTGGCTTTATTTTTATTTATTTATTTATTTTTTTAAAATCTGGGACGGAGTCTCGCTCTGTTGCCTAGGCTGGAGCACAGTGGCATGATCCTGGCTCACTGCAACCTCTGCCTCCCGGGTTCACGCCATTCTCCTGCCTCAGCCTCCTGAATAGCTGGGACTACAGGTGCCTGCCACCATGCCTGGCTAATTTTTTGTATTTTTAGTAGAGACGGGGTTTCACCATGTTAGCCAGGATGGTCTCGATCTCCTGACCTCGTGATCCTCCCGCCTCGGCCTCCCAAAGTGCTGGGATTACAGGCGTGAGCCACCGCGCCTGGCCGGCTGGGCCATTTTACAGTGTTTGAGGTTCCTGTTGCCGCACATCCTCACTAGCATTTGGTGTTGTCAGTGTTTTGGATCTGGGCTGTTCTAACAGGTGTGTAGTAGTATCTTGTTGTTTTAATTTGCAATTCCCTAATTACATATCATGTTGGACATCTTTTCATTGGCTTGTTTGCCATTTGTATATCTTCAGTGAAGTGTCTGTTGTTTGTTTTCTTATATTTTACAAAATAGTGTTTTTCTATTTATAATCTTATTTATTGTCTCTGACTTATCTGAAAGGAGAAGGAAAAAAGATTATGTGCGTACATGGGATGACTGATGATATGGTTTGGCTGTGTCCCCACCCAAATCTCATCTTGCATTCCCACCTGTTGTGGGAGAGACCCGGTGGAGGTCATTGAATCATGGGGGCGGGTCTTTCCCGTGCTGTTCTCATGAGAGTGAATAAGTCTCACGAGAGCTGATGGTTCTGTAAGGGGGAGTTTTCCTGCACAAGCTCTCTCTTTGCCTGCTGCCGTTTATGTAAGACGTGACTTGCTCCTCCTTGCCTTCCACCATGATTGTGAGGCTTCCCCAGCCACGTGGAACTGTAAGTCCATTAAACCTCTTTCTTTTGTAAATTGCCCAGTCTTGGGTATGCCTTATCAGCAGCGTGAAAACGGACTAACACAACTGGGACGGGAAAAGGCCCCAAACACACATAGTTCTGTCTAGCAAAGAGTACTATGAAGTGTTGAGAAGTTGGACTATGCTTGTGGTTAAGAGCTTATGCTTGGAGTTCAAATCCTGGGCCTTTGTCGCTTACCAGCTGTCATTTACCTCTCTGAGCCTCAGTTTGCTCACCTGTACAATGGGGTTGTTAAAACCTGCCTCATAGGGTTACTTTGAAAGATAAAGGAGATGATTCCATAAGCACTTGGAACTAAACCTTGCAAATGGTAAGCCCTCAATGGTGGTTCTCCTAATTGATCATTGACAGACAAACCTTTCACCTCCCCCATGTGACATTTTGTGTTTCCCTTATGTCCTGGTCTTCGAGACTCAGAGCCCACTGGCATCCCATTTGTCCTTACAGTGCAAAGTCGGGGTGTGTGTGCAGGTGGGGAGCAGGCATGCCCCAGCAGGGTGTGCGGGCAGATGGGGCAGTTGGGGAGCACGCTTGCCTCAGCAGGGTGTGCATGCAGATGGGGAGCACGCGTGCCCCAGCAGGGTGTGCACGCAGATGGGGAGCACGCGTGCCCCAGTAGGGTATGCACGCAGATGGGGAGCACGCGTGCCCCAGCAGGGTGTGCGCGCAGATGGGGAGCACGCGTGCCCCAGCAGGGTGTGCGTGCAGATGGGGAGCACGCGTGCCCCAGCAGGCACCCACTTCTCAGCCTCAGGGCACTGCTCCTAGCCTCCTCTCACTTGCCCCAGGACTCAGTTCTCTAGCCAGTCCTGGGTGGCTGTTTCTGTTTCTCCAAGCCTGGCTATACAGGCGTAGAAACCCCAGGGATTCCCCCTTCCAGCTTCTCTGAGGATGAACCCCCCGGTGGTTTTGTTTGAGGAAGTTCCTGCTAATGGCAATGAGAAGTTAGAGAGGTGGGAAAGTGACCAGGCAGATGGAGTCCTCACAGCAGTGGCTGTAGACTTGCCAGCTACTGCCACCTTTGCAGATGGGATTTAGGGTGTTCTGTTTGTTTGTTTGCCTTTGAGACAGGGTCTCACTCTGTAGCCCAGCCTGGAGTGCAGTGGCACGATCATGGCTCACTGCAGGCTTAACCTCCCCAGGCTCAGGTGACCCTCCTACCTCAGCCTCCCAAGTAGCTGGGATTACAGGTGTGTGTCACTGAGCCCAGCTAATTTTTTCTGTGTGTGTGTGTGTTTTCAGAGACAAGGTTTCACCATGTTGCCCAGGCTGGATTCAAACTCCTGGGCTCAATCGATCCTCCCGCCTTGGCCTCCCAAAATGCTGGGATTACAGGCCAGGATGGTTTTTGATTTGGCCTCACCAACGGGCCTCCTGCCTCTCTCAGCAAGGCCAGGTGGCCTTTCCCCTCATGCTGATTCCTCTTCCCAGTATATACACTTTCTATTCATCAGGTCTCCTGCCCAGATATGAGCCCCTCTGGGCATTTCCCCCAATACAGAAGAGGATGATGATGAGAATAGTGATGACTGATGGTGACAATGTCTGATGGAGGTGAATATGATGATGTAACAGTGATTGTGATGATAGTGATGATGGTGATGGTGATTGACAATGATGGTGATGATTATAGTGATGGTGGTAACTGAGATGACAGTGATGGTGGTGATGATGACTGATGGAGGTGAACATGGTGATGATGTAACAGTGATTGTGATGATAGTGATGATGGTGATGCTGATTGACAATGATGGTGATGATGAGGGCGATGATAGTGGTGTTGGTGATGATGATGGTGATCATGATGATGGTGATGATGATAGTGATGATGGTGGTGGTGACACAGATGACAGTGATGGTGATGATGATGTGGGTGATGGTCATGATAGTGGTGATGATGTCTGATGGTGGTGATGGTGATGATGATGTGGGTGATGATGGTGATGATGTCTGATGGTGGTGATGGTTATGATAGTGGTGTTGGTGATGATGATGGTAATAATGATGACGGTGATGGTGATGGTGATGATTATAGTGATGGTGGTGGTAACCGAGATGACAGTGATGGTGGTGATGGTGACTGATGGAGGTGAATATGATGATGATGTAACAGTGATGGTGATGATAGTGATGATGGTGATGATGATGAGGGTGATTATAGTGGTGTTGGTGATCATGATGGTAAAAATGATGATGGTGATGATGACAATGTCTGATGGTGATGATGACTGGAGGTGAATATGATGGTGACAATGATGGTGATAGTGATGACGATGATGACAGTGGTGACGATGATGATGGTGATGATGGGGGTGATGATAGTGATGATGGTGGTGATGACAGAGATGACAGTGATGGTGATGGTAATGATGATGACTGATGGTGATGATGGTGAATATTATGATGATGATGGTGATGATGAGGATGGCCATGATGGCCCTACCCTGAGAATGCACACTGTGACAGGCTTTGTGCTGGTTGTGTTACCTACACCACCTCTATCAGGTTTTCTCAACTCCAGTGCTTTGGCGTTTAGGCTGGATAACTCTGTCATGGGGGCTGTTTTGTGCCTCAGGGATGTTTAGCAGCATTCCTGGCCTCTACCCACTGGATGGATAGTAGTCAATAGCACCCGCAACTATGTCTCCAGATATTTCCAAATGTCTCTTGGGGGACAAAATCACTCCGATTCAGAACCACCGGTTGAATTTATTCTTCCCAATAGCCCCAGGAGGCAGCTACTCATTTATAGATGATGCACCCAAGCCTTAGAGAAATGAAGGAAGTTGCCCAAGGTCACCAAGCTCATAATTCGCAGCCAGAATGCAAACCTCAGATACGCGACCCTGAGCCCAGACCTGTAACCACTGCCCTTTGTCACCTGTCAGAAGAAGAGAATTCATCAGCCTGCTGGCAGGGCTACCTGGAGTGCGTGACAGGGTTGAGCGCCTGCTTTGTCAGTCCCAGCATCCCTTGCCAGATTCATTTGGAGCTAATAAAAGCAGTGGCTCTGCCCATTTTCTGACTTGGTTTGAACTCAGAGAGCTGAATGTGTTTACGTAGAGACTGACTCCACAGCCCTCAGTCCTGTGCCACGATAGGGAAGTCCTGCATCTTCTGCTTCCCTGAGGCAGCCATGTCACCTGGTGTGTCGCCTGTGGACACCTGTGGGGAGCAGGAACAGGCATGGATGTGTTTTTTTGCAAGTGGGACCTTGCAAGGTCATTGTCTGTGTCCTCCTAATGTTGTGAACCTGGTTTCTACAGGTTGAATGCCCAAAATACCTACTTGTAATTTTACTTTTATAATAATTTATTATGAATAATTAAAAACATGCAGCAAAGTGGAACAAATGTTATAGTGAAACTTACATGCCTGACATTTGGATTCCATCACTAACAATTTCCTTGATCTGTCGTGGTGTTTCTTGTTTTTGGAACCCAGATTAGCATCATGTCTGGCTGGTTGGTCAATGAGACTCTATAAATTCTCTATGAGGAGAATAAATTAATAACATATTAATTTGGGATAGATGGTCTTCATTCACCAGAGTAATGGGGGATGTCATGGATGACCTTCTAATCACCATCACCAATCATCACCACATACAGAAACCCTATTCCCTTTTGCTGTCCCCCTTCCCTGACCCCAACAAGCCCTAGGCAACCACTAATCTACTTTCTGTCTCTATAAATTTGTCTATTCTGAACATTTTACATAAATGGGATCATATATGTGGTTTTTTGTGACTGGCTTCTTTTAACAGATTTTCAAGGTTTGTCTGTGTTGTAGCATGAATCGATACTTCATTCCTTTTTATAGCCAAATAATATCCTTTTGTGTGGATACACCATATTTTGTTTGTCCTTTTCCCAGTTGATGGACATTTGAGTTGTTTCCCCCTTTGGCTATTGTGAATGGTGCTGCTATGAGCATTGGTGTACAGGTTTTAATTTGAACACTTGCTTTCAATTCTTTTGGGTCTATACCTGGGAGCGAAATTGTTGGGTCAGATGATAATTGTGTGTTAACTTGTTGAGGAACTAAACTGTCTTCCATAGTGGCTGCACCATCTCCATTCCCACCAACAAGATACAAGTGTTCCAGTTTCTCCACATCCTCACGAACACTTGTTATTTTTCATATTTTTTAGTGTAGCCATCCTAGTGGATGTGAAGTGGTATCTCATGGTGGTTTTGATTTGTATTTTCCTGATGGTTAACAATATTGAGTCTTTTTTCATGTGATTTTTGGGCATTTGCGTATCTTCTTTGGGGAAATGTCTTTTCAAATCCTTTGCCCATGTTTAAATGGAATTGTCATTTTGTTGTTGAGTTGTGAGAATTATTTATATAGTGTAGATACTAGACCCTTATGAGATATATGGTTTGCAAATATCTTCTCCCATTCTATGGGCTGTCTTTTCACCTTCTCGATAGTGTCCTTTGATGGACAAAGTTGTAAATTATGACAGATTTACAAATTACGATAAAGTCAGCCAGGCACAGTGGTGTATGCCTGTCATCTCAGCTATCTGGGGGGCCGAGGTGGGAGGACAACTTGAGCCCAGGAGTTTGAGATGAACCTAAACAGCACGGCATTACCCCGTCTCAAAAAAATTATGATAAAAAATCCAATTTGTCTCTTTTTTCTTTTGGTGTGTATGGTGTCATCTAAGAAATCATTGCCAAATCTTAGATGACACCAAAATGTAGATGACACCTATTTTTTGGTGTCCTCTAAGAAATCACTGCCAAATCTGAAGTCATGAAAATTTACCCTGACATTCCTTATACGAATTTCATAGTTTTAGCTCTTGCATTAGGTTTTGATCCGTTTGAGTTAAATTTTGCAATGGTGTGATGTCAGGGTCCACGTCATCCTTCTGCAGGTGGCTCTGCACTTGTCCCAGCAGATGTTGTTGGAAGGACTGTTCTTTCTCCGTCGTATGGTCTCGGCATCCTTGTTGAAAGTCAGTTGACCACGGATGTATGGGTTTATTTCTGGGCTCTCAGTTCTATTCCAGTGCCACAGTTTTCAGTACCATATGGGCAGGAGGCATCCTGCTCTGAGGGAGTGTTTGGTCCAGTAGGAGAGGTCAGACACGTTCACCAGAAACTGCGAAGTTCTGGGAAGAGGTAAAAACAGTGTGCTTATGAGGACGAGGCAGCGATTGCTTCAGCCCTGGGCAGTAAGTGTGGATGTGGGGAGACCTGGGCAGGGGCAGTGAGTGTGGATGTGGGGAGGCCTGGGAGGGGGCAGTGAGTGTGGATGTGGGGAGACCTGGGCAGGGGCAGTGAGTGTGGATGTGGGGAGGCCTGGGAGGGGGCAGTGAGTGTGGATGTGGGGAGGCCTGGGTGGGGGGCAGTGAGTGTGGATGTGGGGAGGCCTGGGAGGGGGCAGTGAGTGTGGATGTGGGGAGGCCTGGGTGGGGGGCAGTGAGTGTGGATGTGGGGAGGCCTGGGTGGGGGGCAGTGAGTGTGGATGTGGGGAGGCCTGGGAGGGGGGCAGTGAGTGTGGATGTGGGGAGGCCTGGGTGGGGGGCAGTGAGTGTGGATGTGGGGAGGCCTGGGTGGGAGGCAGTGAGTGTGGATGTGGGGAGGCCTGGGTGGGGGGCAGTGAGTGTGGATGTGGGGAGGCCTGGGCCCAGGGCAGTGAGTGTGGACGTGGGGAGGCCTGGGTGGGGGGCAGTGAGTGTGGATGTGGGGAGGCCTGGGAGGGGGGCAGTGAGTGTGGATGTGGGGAGGCCTGGGTGGGGGGCAGTGAGTGTGGATGTGGGGAGGCCTGGGTGGGGGGCAGTGAGTGTGGACGTGGGGAGGCCTGGGTGGGGGGCAGTGAGTGTGGACGTGGGGAGGCCTGGGTGGGGGGCAGTGAGTGTGGATGTGGGGAGGCCTGGGTGGGGGGCAGTGAGTATGGATGTGGGGAGGCCTGAGCCCGGGGCAGTGAGTGTGGATGTGGGGAGGCCTGAGCCCAGGGCAGTGAGTGTGGATGTGGGGAGGCCTGGGCCTGGGCATGAGGTATGACACCAGGTGTGTGTTTGTCTGGAGACAAATTTGGCAAGGCACGGTGGAGTCTGTGGATGGCCATGAACTCCCAGCTGAGGACCCTGGGCTTGATTTTGAGGTGTTTGGGTGGAGCGGGGCCTTTGGAGAGCCTGTCTGATGGCAGGATTGGCCGGGTCTGAGCTGGGGAGCCTGGAGCCAGGGGGACCCCTTAGGACTATGGGGTGACTGAGGAGGTCTGGGTGACACCTGGTTCAGGCAGTGGGTCTGGTGGGGAGCAGGGGCTGTCTTTGAAAATGCCCCAGGGCTCAGACACCAGCTCCTTTGTGCCTCTGCTCTGAGGGCCTAGGCTGGGACAACAGTGGCACTGAGGGCTGGTGACTGAGGTCCCACAGGTCCCAGCCCCTGCCTGCTCCGGGAAACAGCCAGCCCGTCTCCTCTGCAATCCCCTTCAGGCTGCCCCGGCCCAGTTCTTCTCAGAACTCCCGTTTGGCCAATTACTGCGCGACTTACAGTTTCTGGGAACTCTGTGCTCCCCGCTGCTGGGTGTGTGGCAGGTGCTCGGAGAATACCCGGCTCATTGCTTTCGTTAGGCACCTGTAGGCACCGCACCTGCAACCCGACGCCTTGGGAGGAGGAGGGGGATAGAAAGCACCTGGGCTCAGCCCAGCTCCGTTGGGCCAAACTGGGCACCTGGTGCCAGCTTATGGGGCCTTGGGCACGTGGCTGCCCCTCTCGAGCTGGTTTCTTCTTTTCTGAAAGGAGTGATGATCACGTCGTCCTCTGGGGCTTGTGATGATTCCAGTTGGTCAGCCAGTGGCGGGCACCTGGCAGGTGGGCAGCACCCATGGAGGCGGCTTCTTCCTCTCCCAGTTTGGTAGTGCAGGGTCAGGCTGGGCACGTGTAGGGATGTTTGTTAACTTGGGGGCCCCTCCTAGAGGCCCTGAAAACTCCTAGCTAAGTGCCAGTGGTTCTGTCTGACCCTTCCCCCTGCCTGTCTTCTCTGTAGCAAGCCATGTTCTGGGGTGGCCCCCACTGTTGCCTGAGCCCTCCGCTGGCCCTCTTATGGGCATTCTCACTTATTTGGGGTCTTAGCCTCTGCCAGGAGAATGGGTAGTGTGCAGAGAACCGGACAGCTTGTTCCCAGGCAGGGCAGTGCCTAACCCTGGAGTTGCAACAGAGAAACGCCTGTTTGTGTTTCTGTGAGCAAGAGGAGACAGCTGGGCCCACAGATAGCAGGCGAGGTCAGCCGGGGATGGCCTTGGCTGCTGGCTGTAAGCAAACCCTGGCTCTGGTGAGGTGAGGGGAGGAAGGTTGGAGAAGTACCTGGCAGGACCCGCGGAGAGCCACCTGGGAGCTGGAGTCTGGGCTGGGCCGTGCAGAAGCTGCTGGCGGAGGCAGGGGTGTGGGACGCTGCCCCCCGGGGCCTGGAGCACCGCCCTCAGCACACCTGAGGACTGGGCCTTTTCCAAGCGGGTGAGGAGGGTTGAGGCTTCTTTTTCCCTAGAAGCTTCTCTGCTTCATGGAGAGGTTTCTCTTGGGCTCCTTCAACAAGCAGTTCCCAGGTGGGAGCCGAAATCAGGTTTCCTCTGCAAAGATTCTGCCTGCCTGGGACTTTCCAGACCCACATACATCACGTAAATGGAAGCAGGCCTGCGTTTCTGCATTAAAAGACAAATAGCATGAATGCTCGATACTGCCCGTCCCAAGCCAGGTGCCCGGCAGCCTGGGAGCACTTGGGCATTTTCTGGGCAGAGAGTGCTCAGGGGCCACAGGTACCTACGTATTATTCTGGTCACGTTTGCAGTAAGTTTGAATTTCATTTTCTCTTCTCTCTTTCTCTCTCTCTCTGTGTGGTTACCCTGTAAATTTTTTTTTTTTTTTTGAGACAGGGTCTTGCTCTGTTACCCAGCTGGAGGGCAGTGGTGCAATCATGGCTCACTGCAGCCTCCGTCTCCTGGGCTCAAGTGATCCTTCTCAGCCTCCTGAGTATCTGAGACTACAGGTATGTGCCACCATGCCCAGCTAAGTTTTAAATTTTTTGTAGAGACAGGGTCTTGCTCTGTTGCCCAGGCTGGTCTCGAACTCCTGAGCTCAAACGATCCTCCTGCCTTGGCTTCCCAAAGTGCTGGGGTTACAGGTGTGAGCCACCACGCCCAGCCTGGTTTCCCTGCTGTCACCACCTTCAGCTCTGTGACTGCCTTGATACAGCAGTTCCACCTACACTGTTTCAGGCCTTTCAGAAAAGACAAAAGCAAGCTATGCCTCTGGGGACACGTAGGCAGAGCTGTGGCTGTTAAAATCTGAGGGCTGGCACTTGAGATGGGGGAGAAGTAGGTTATTTCACATCTCATTTGCATTGGAGGCTTTGCAGAGTGTTTCTGCCTGGGAATGAGAACAGCGTCAGATGAAGAGACGAGCAGGGATTTGGGGTCCACTGGAGCGGGAGTTGCCAGTCATTAAAGATGCCCAAGGATTTACTTTCCAAGGTTAAAAAAGACCCACAGGATTAAGTGAAACCTCCTACGTGTGCCCCATGAGGGGCCTTGCCGGGGTACAAAAAAAACCCCTGCCCAGCCCTCGAGCAGCGAGACTGAGCGGCTGGGCACGGGCCTGGTGCCTCGTCAGCACCCAGCGTGTGTGTGTTGAATGAACGAGGCCAAGGAAACTGAGAGGTGCCGCTGTTGGTCCTGCCGAGGACAGGAGCAGACGCTTAGCTCTGTGACCAAGTTGGGGTGCCTCCTGGACGGGGTCCTGGGTGGCATGTCCAGGATTGCTGCTCCTCAAAGCACACAGGCAAGAAAGGCTGCAGGAGTCTTAGCAGGGGCTGGAGGGTCCGTAGAGAGCCCGTGTGTGGCAGAGGGAAAGAGGCAGGTTAAGGAGGCCAGCGAGGCTGAGCCTTATGCCGTGAGGCGGTTTTTAAGATAAAATTTTGTTGGCAGGCTGGGTGTCGTGGCGTACTCCCATAGTCCCAGCTACTTGGGAGGCTGAGGCAGGAGGATCATTTGAGCCCAGGAGTTTGAGACCAGCCTGGACAACAGAGCAAGACCCTGTCTTTACCAAAAAATTAAAAAATTAGCCAGGCGTGTAGTTCTAGCGACTTGGGAGGCTGATGCGAGGATCACGGGAGCCGAGGAGTTGGAGGCTGCAGTGAACTGTGACTGTGCCACTGCACTCCAGCCTGGGCAACGGAGCAAGACCCTGTCTCAAAAAAAAAAATTATTGGTGCGTAACCGATGTACGTAGTTCCAGTGAGTGGCAAACTCTTGACGGTTAAATTAGTCCCCTGAAGGGGTACTGGACCCACCATGTCTGGGCATCGGGGTAACAGGTAAATGCCCCCGAGGATGCGGGCGGAATGAAATGCTGACGGGAGGGCGGTGGGCTCAAGCCGAATGGGAGCCTGATGGGAGGAGCTGGAGAATTCCCAGGGGAGGTGGTGCTGGGCCACCCCCAGGTGGAGGAGGTAGACAGCGTGAACCAAAGGCGTTCCAGGTGAGAGGGTGCCGGAGACAAGGCTGGGCGGCTGCAATGCCTCAAGGTCCTGGTGGCTGGAGCACCAGTTTTGCAGAGGGGTGGCTGGCAGAATGCAAGGGTGGTTTGTGCCAGATCATGGACGGCCTTGAGGGCAGCTAGGGCTTGTTTCCTTAGTAGTGGGGAGCCACCGAAGGTTTCTGAGCAGGGGAATCACACGGCCTGACCTGGGCTGTAAGGATGGTCTCTCTGGCTGTACGTGAAGAGGGGCAACGGGGAGCCCCAGCAGGTTCCAAGGCAGATGAGGAAGATTTGCCACGGTCTGGGCAAGAGAGGAGGAGCATCGGAGCTGGGAGGAGGGGGAGCCGCCCCGAGCAGGCAGACCTGGCAGGGTGCCCGGGGGCGGTGGAGTTTGAGGGAGGTTTGTCAGGCACTGGTTTCCCCGGGGCTCCTGCTTCAACTCTGGAATCCACTCGAGCCCGCTTGGTGCATAGTCAGCCTGCAACGCTTCCGAGTGAGTGGTTCTTTGGGCGTTTAGACAGGCCTTTGAGGCTCCCTCTCTGAGTCTTTAATCCTCCCAGCGCCGCCTGACAGGTGGAGGAAATGTTGACGTCTGGGCTCACCTTATCTTGCTGCCCTCCTCGTGTTTCCCGTGTCATAGTAACAGAGCAGATGTCAGAGCTGTTGCTAAGGGTCCCCTCGGATATTAATACCTTGTGTTGGACGAAGGGCTCCCACACAGTGTCTTCGAGGCCTCGGGAAGCACCGGCTCGGTGGCAAGTATTCTTTTATGTTTGTCCCAGCTTCTTTTCCCTCCTCTAAACCCCATCTCCTCCCTGTCGCCCTGGCCTAGGCACAGCGCCCAGTGGGATGGCACACTCTGCAGCAGCAAATGTGCAGCCGTTCTCCCTCCACGCCGGGGGCAGACGTGACTAACAGATCACAGCATGCTTTCCTACGGAGGCTGGAGGCAGCCTCCAGCCCCTTTTCAACCCAGCCCTCTGGGCGCCAGCTCAGATTTAGCACTTGGGATGAAGCCTCTCTTCCAGCCCTGCAGGCGCCACCTGCGAAGCCTCCAGGCCCTCTCCACGGGGTACTTCCTCTGGCACCTGGGAGGGGAGGGGAGTGGGTTTTGCTTGCCTCTTGTGTCTCCTGTTTGCCTCCCTCGTCTGGTCTTTTGGCCTTTCCACCACAAGTGGAAAATCAAACTGAATAGTTCTGGACATTGAGGTCAGGGTTGGGATTTTATCAGCCAGATGCCATTTTTATCCGTTATATATTGCTGGGGTAACACTGCATGACAAGCATACCTGTCCAAACGTGGGGGCTCACGACCACCATTTATTACCCCTCCTCAGTCTACGGGCCGGCCGGGCGGTTCTGCCACTCTTGGCCGGGCCGTGCATTTCATTCTAAGCATCGTGATGCAGCGGCTCAGAGGGCACCAGCCACCCCTGGTGTGGAAAATGCACTTGAGCCCTCTCTCTGTGGCCGACACCAACTGGCGTCCTGCAGCGCTGGTGTTGGCCTTCGCACGTGGGTGTCCTAGGCACAGCGACTTCCCCCAGCCCCTCCGTCCGCCGCCTCCTTCCCACTGTTCACCCTGCATCATTTCCTTTATTCTCACCATAGAGATAGTCTCACCCGGACACCTGCACCCTCATACCCGGGCCCCCTTTGTCACAGTCGCTCGGGGGTCACAGTGTGGCTGTGCTCTTGGGAATGCGTCCCCAGCCAAGCATATCTGCTGGTCTCAGGAGCTCGGGTATGCTGCCCACGCTCACCGTGGGTCGGACCCTGTGGCTGGATGAAAGCGCGCTCGTTCGTGCCACACCCTAGGAGTCTGAAGCCTCAGTTATATCAGTGAACGTGTCCCTGAAACAAGATCGAAGAGGTGAAAATGCCAGGGTGTAAGGTGGGGAGCGATCACAGCCCTGGAAGAAGGAGGAGCCGCACTTGCTGGGGTGGTTGCCTTGTCCCTGTCCCTGTCCCTCCGCAGTGGATGGGCTGGCCCTGGGGGAAGGCGTGGGGAGAAGGAGCCGCACTTGCTGGGGGTGGTTGCCTTGTCCCTGTCCTTGTCCCTGTCCCTCCACAGTGGATGGGCTGGCCCTGGGGGAAGGCGTGGGGAGAAGGAGCCGCACTTGCTGGGGGTGGTTGCCTTGTCCCTGTCCTTGTCCCTGTCCCTCCACAGTGGACGGGCTGGCCCTGGGGGAAGGCGTGGGGAGAAGGAGCTGCACTGGGTGGGGTGGTTGCCTTGTCCCTGTCCTTGTCCCTGTCCCTCCACAGTGGATGGGCTGGCCCTGGGGGAAGGCGTGGGGAGAAGGAGCTGCACTGGGTGGGGTGGTTGCCTTGTCCCTGTCCTTGTTCCTGTCCCTCCGCAGTGGATGGGCTGGCCCTCGGAGAAGGCGTGGGGAGAAGGAGCTGCACTTGCTGGGGTGGTTGCCTTGTCCCTGTCCCCCCGCAGTGGACGGGCTAGAGACTCCGTGGGTGTTTGCCGGGCTTCTCTGAGGCAGGTTGTTTTGCCTCCGGATATGTTTTTCAAAGTCTGATACGTGTTAGAGACAGACAGCTGCGGGCGGCTGTTGTTTTTCTCACTGTGCTGTGGCTGCTGAGAGTTTTGGAAGGTCAGGGTCGAGCCGCGGTTCTCCTGGAGTGATGACTATGCGCACTGCTTCCTAGCCTGTACGGGGATGAGCTCCCAAGGCCCGTTTACGGGACCCTGTAGTCGGGGCGGGGAACAGTCGGCTGGAGGGGTGTCATGTGACCGGCCCCAGCCACTGGTCACTCAGGGCTCTCAAGCCAGTGCTGGCTTTACCAGCTTCTGAGCCCACAAATGCTGTTAAGGAGATAGAAGCCTTCTTTTAAGTAGATGCAACTGTTTGCAAAGAAGAGGCCCTTTATTTTATTTTATTTATTTATTTTTTTGCGAATAGAGGATCGTCTGCCTTATTGAAACCATCTAATTGGAGATCCGCAGATTAGGCTACCAAGACACAGCTGCCTCCAGCAGAATTTGTGTAGTGGACACTTGTACGTGCACTTTGGAGACAGCAAGCATGAGGCCTGCAGCTGACAGCTTTGAGTGGCTGTGAACCTGACTATGGAAAAGGTATCTCAAAAAATACACTGAAAAAATGCACTTCATTTCCCTTTTGGGAACTTATCCTAAGGCAGTCGTCAGAGATTTATCTGCCAGGATGTCCATTTCAGTGCTGCATATAATCGAGCAAAATTGGAAACAATCCATGTGCTCCCAAACAGGAAGATGGTAAAACGTATTGTATTCAGAATACTAAGTTATAGTTTAAAATCATATTTTTAAAGAACTTTAATACTGTGGGAAAGCACAAGGTGGTTTAAAAAACCAGCAAGCAGCATATATAGTAAGAACCCAATTTTATTTAGAAACCAGCAAGCAGCGTATGCAGTAAGAACCCAATTTTATTACAATTTGTACATAAATGCCCAGGAAAAGTTGGAAGGTGCTACATTAAGGTGTTAAGAGTCGCCATGGGGGTGGCTGATGTGAGAATTTAAGGTGTTTTCTCTTTAGGATAAAATATCCTACCGCCCCCAGGAGTGACCACGTGAGGCTGCATAATGGCCGTCTCTGTGTCTGCAGTGATGTCTGCAGTGACGAACGCCCGGGGTGGTGAGCTCTAATGGCCTTCTCTGTGTCTGCAGTGATGTCTGCAGTGACGAACGCCCGGGGTGGTGAGCTCTAATGGCCGTCTCTGTGTCTGCAGTGATGTCTGCAGTGACGAACGCCCGGGGTGGTGAGCTCTCGACTTTAGAGAGAGAATTGCATCCTCCTGGAAGAAGGGGTTGTTTTTACCGATCTGTCTCAGGAAGTTGCCTGGGGCTGATGAGCCTCTGTCCCCTAGGAATTTTTCGGGAAATTATCACCGGCAACTCCTGTTCCGTTCCCTGTACCCCTCGGGTCCTCCTAGTCCCTGTACTGCGGGGTTTTACAAGGGTTCCGGAACATCTGCCTGCTGGGCCGGCCAGCCCGAGTGCTGCCTCTGCTCAGCGTGTGTCGCCCGGCGGGGTCGAGGTGGCACCAGGAGGTCTCAGCTTCCCAGAGGAGGCTCCTGGGGGCACCAGCCCCTCAGCAAGGAGCGAGCTCAGCCGTCAGGTGGAGCTGCCTTGAGGCCGACTACCCCGTGGGGAATCTTGAGGGACAAACGGCCTGTGAGTCAGCAAGTCGCAGAGCCTGGTTAGAGTCCAGCTGTCTGCTCTGAGCATGTCTGGGCTGTTTTCTGAATTCTTCCTTGTCTGGGAAAGCCACATCTCTCTGATGAAATACAGTTGAATTAAATGGATATTCCCTGAGCACCTACTTTGCAGCAGGCTCTGTGTGGGCATCAGGAAGGGAGGGAAGGAGGAGGATGTAGGGACCCTCTAGGGCACCCAAGGTCCAGCAGGGAAGGAGAAATGGAAATTTCATGTCGATAGAACTGAACACTTCTGGGCGGGCTCCTGGGTGGATGCCCACCCTCTCCACGAGGGGCTTGCCTTCCCCATCAGCAGCCTTGACCTATGTGCTCATTGAATATGCTCCTGTACACACACACGCGCACACACACACGCTCCTCCTTCCCCAGCCTCTTACCTGTCCCAGCTGGTAGGACCTCAGAGACAGACCTGGCCCTGGGGATCACGTCTCTAGTTTACGGAGGAAGTGGCCAGAGCTCCACCAGCCCTGTCCACAGAACCTCCTGTGTCTGCTCCCCGCAGAGCTCCACCAGCCCTGTCCACAAAATCTCCTCCGTCTTCTCCCCGCAGAGGTCCATCAACCATGTCCACAAAACCTCCTGCCTCTGCTCCCCCCAGAGCTCCACCAGCCCTGTCCACAGAACCTCCTGCCTCTGCTCCCCAGGCCAATTCCATCCTCCCTCCTGAATTTGGGGGTTTGCCTTCCCTGCTTTTCCACTCACCTTCTATAAGGCCCTATTTTGTTCCCTCATCAGTTTAATTTTTGTCCAGGACAAATGGTCATACCTGAGTACAAGGGCGCAGTCTGTGTTTAATGCACAGGGCACTGCTCTCTGGAGTTTTCAGGACCCTGCTTTTAAGAGAGAAGGGTCAGACTTTCTGCCCTCTGAGCCCAAGAGGTGAGTGCTGAGTGGTGGCGAGCATAGTTTACCCACTGGTGAAGGGGGTGCCGGGCATGGGGGTCGGCTGATGAGGCCCTCCTTGCTGCCGAGTCAGGGAGCCTCTGCATGCTGACGAGGTTTGGAGAATCGAAACTGGCTCCGTGGGCAGTTTCCTAAAATGTGCCTCCTCGAGTTGCCCTTCCTCTCCCACCATCTGTCCCGAGGTTGCTCCGTGCGAGTGAAGGACAGCTGTGCCTTCTGAGGTGCCAGCCACGGCCAGGGTGGGGGTGCACAGCCGTCCCAGAGCCGGGGCCTGAATTCTCCTGGGTCCTCATGTCCGACCTTTGCTCAGGGCCACCCCTGTGAACGTGGTCAGCCACAGACTTGCCATCAGTGATGAACCTGCCCTGGCGCTGCCCGTGGCCCCAGCTCTGGAGGCGACATCCTTCCGTCTCCCTTGATCTCTGCAGCATTTGGCTCTTTCCGTCTCCCTTCATCTCTGCAGCATTTGGCTCTGTGGCTCTTCTGCCCTGAAGCTACAGCAGTGAGAGGGGTGGGGACATGTAGGAAGCAGTTCTCGCGGCCTCCTCCTCTCTGTCCTGTGGACTGGGCTGGGGAGGGCTCAGTTCCCACCTCCCACGTGGGAGCAGCCAGCAGCCTGCCTGCTGGCTGCCTGCCTCCCTTGCCTCCCTCGCTTGCCTCCCTCGCCTCCCTCATGTAACTCAGCAGGGTCCAAATCAGGCATTGAAATTGCAGGAGGCGGTTGCTCCGGCCTGTCTCAAGCTCTGTTGGGTGCCGATGGGGAAACTGAGGCTCAGGAAGACAGTTGACTTGTTCCTGGACTTCTAGTAAGTTTACATAAAAGCCAAAATTTCACAGATCTTTTTTTTTTTTTTGAGATTATGTCTCGCTCTGTCACCCAGGCTGGAGTGTAGTGGCGCGATCTCAGCTCACTGCAACCTCCACCCCCCAGGTTCAAGCGATTATCCTGCCTCGGCCTCCCGAATAGCTGGGATTACAGGTGCGCGCCATCACGCCTGGCTAATTTTTGCATTTTTAGTGGAGACGGGGTTTCTCCATGTTGCCCAGGCTGGTCTCAAACTCCTGAGCTCAAGGGATCCACCCACCTGAGTCTCCCGAAGTGCTGAGATTACAGGCGTGAGCCACCCCGTGTGGGCTGTAGTATATTTTAGTGTTTACTTTGAAAAGAATAATGCTTTGTACACCCATGTGGAGCAGTGTGACTGCACAAGATAACTGAAGTTTTTAAAAAGCAAAGCAAACCATAGTGCTCTAAAGGCTGGGATGGGGCACTGATTTAAAGTTGTTTGAGGACGGTATCATTTTTGACCTGTCTTTCCTTGCTTGTCCATTAGCCTCATCTGGGAGAAGATTGAGCCTCCATCTGAGGAGGTCCTGGGTGATCTGGGCCCGGCCATGGGATTTCCACGCTTGGCTGTTTGGGGTCTGGGGCTGCCCAGGTCTCTTTGCTGAGGCAGCTCACTGGGGAGGGTCAGGTCTGATCTGGAAGAGCAGGTGCCTGGACATGTGCATGGGGTAGAGCGACCAGTGTGGTTAAGGTTGTGGCCTGGACCCTGTGTGGTCAGGCGGAGGCGGTCTGCATGTTACCTCTGCTGGTCATCATAGAAATGGGTGGCACTGGCCGAGAAAAGCAGTTCTCCAAGCTGGGCCCAGGCCTCTCTGGGGGTCCCCCAACACCCTCCGGAGATCCACAGGTCAAAAGTGTTTCCATAAGAATAGTCATAGGACTCTGGGTTTTATCCTGTCACAAATGTACAGAAAAGGAGAAGTTCATTGATGTGGTTTCAGATGCCACATTTGAACTAATCTTTAAGAAATTACCATCTGTTGAGTTTGGGTGCAATATCAAAGAAAAATATTTACAATTTCTGGAAAGTAAAAAAAGTCCTCCTCTTTTCAGCCATCATACGTATTTGTGAGGGTCTGGATGTCCTTCAAGGACTTCAGCGAAACAACCTGCCACAAATGCGTGAATGAAAAATCAGATATGAAGGTCCAGCTGTTTTTTGTGAAGTCAAACATTAAAAAGAGTTGTAAAAATGTAAAACAGTGTCATTTGTCTAATTGCTTTGTAAGTGTAGTTTTTCATAAAATATGTAAATTATGTGAACGTCTAATGGGTTTATTATTTTTAATGAATTAACAACATTTTAAAGATTTTCTCAGTTTTAATTTCTAGTGTGGTAACTAGCAATGGTCATAGCCCATGTATTTTGGAGTTCTCAAGAATATATGTATATCTATATATTTTTTGAGACGGAGTTTCGCTCTTTTTGCCCAGGCTGGAGTGCAATGGCTTGATCTCGGCTCACTGCAACCTCCACCTCCAGGGTTCAAGCAATTCTCCTGCCTCAGCCTCCTCAGTAGCTGGGATTACAGGCACTCGCCACCACACCCAGCTAATTTTTTTTGTATTTTTAGTAGAGGCGGGGTTTCACCATATTGGCCAGGCTGGTCTTGAACTCCTGACCTCAAGCAATCCTCCTGCCTTGGCCTCCCAAAGTGCTGGGATTACAGGCCTCAGCCACCATGTCTGGCCTGTGAATGAGTTATAATTCATTTTTTTTTTCATGGTCTGTGTTTGTGCTGAAGTTGTAATTCACATGCCATAAAATTCACACTTTTAAAGGGTGCGATTCAGTGGTTTTAGTGTATTCTTGAAATGTGTGACCATCACCACTGTCTAATCCAGAACATTTTTACGACCCCAAAAAGAAGTCCTGAACCCACTGGGAGTCTGTTCCCCTCTTCCTGCAACCCCTGACAACCACTCCTCACCTTCCGTCTCTCTAGATTTGCTTATTCTGGACACACTGTATAAACGGAATCATACAATACGTGGTCTTTTATGACTGGCTTTTCTTACTTAGGATGTTTTAAAGATTCATCCATGTTGTAGCTGGTATTAGCACTTCATTCCTTTTTACGGCCAAATAATAATCCATTGTAAATCATACTCCATTGTAAATAATAATAATCCATTGTAAATAATAATCCATTGTAAATCATAATCCATTGTAAATAATAATCATCGTATGGATATAGCACATTTTCCTCATTCATCAGTTGATGGATATTTTCGTTGTTTCTGCTTTTGGCGGTCATGAATAGTGCTGCTAAGAACGTTTGTGTACAGGTTTTGGTGAGGACGTATGTTTTGGGTACTCTTGGGTGTGTAACTAGGAGTAGAGTTTCTGGGTCATATGGTAAGTCTGTGTTCAACATTTTGAGGAAGTGTCAAACGGATTTCGAACCTGGATCTTTTTTAAGAGTGTAAAGGGGCCCTGGGTTTGAGAACCACTGGCCTAGCTGGGATTAGACCAGGAGAGTGTGGATGGCTCAGGAGAGCCCCTCCTCCTTGCTCTGGGATTCAGATACCCTCGGCCTCATCCCACACTCCCTTCAGAATGCACGCGTGGCATCCTCAGACCACCAAAGACAATCCTGTCCTGGGAGGCAGGGAGAAAGCCGGCACACTAGACAGTGCACAGGTGAAGCCCTCAGGGGGTCCTGGAGCAGGGCCACCTCCCTGGGGGATCCCCAGGTGCCATTTTCATGGCAGTGTCTATGGACGGCTCCCCTTGGCATGGTGCTGGGTGGCAATCCTGGCTGTAGCTGCCACCCCCTGCCCTCTTGCCTGCCCTCGAGGGCATTGTGATCATCGGTGTGAGTCTGTTGGGAAGGAGAGCCAGGTCCCCAGGTTTGGGAAAGGAGTAGGGTTTCCCAGCCTGTCTGGCCATCACCCCCCAGCCCAGCCCCTCCTGCTGGGTGACGTGCTCAGTTCGGCCCCTGCTGTACTGGGAGGGGGCAGGGAGCAGATGGCCTCCAGGGTTGAGTTGAAAACTGCTAAGGGTGAGCCTCCTCTCTCCTTTCTGACTCTAACCTTTTGATGCCCTGCCAGTCATGTTCACTCTTGTCACTCGGCCACATGATCCACCTGGTCACCCTCCTAGAATCATGAGCCTTCTGAAGAGGAGCCTTGAGGGAAGAGTGTTTTGCTGGAGAGATGGTTCCCACAGTGAGATTCCAGGCATCAGTGGGGATCGTGCATGGAGATGGTGTGGAGGGGCCTGAGGGCACAGAGAACCTGTCTGCCATCTGTACCCCAGCCAATGATGCACACTCTTTCGTCTTCCCTCCTTCATCTCAGATGTGACTCCCCACCCCCAGCCGGGTGCTCCGAGCCATGGCCGACACCATCTTCGGCAGCGGGAATGATCAGTGGGTTTGCCCCAATGACCGGCAGCTTGCCCTTCGAGCCAAGTGAGTACCTCTGGGGCCCCCCAGGCCGTCCCTTCCTTCTGCCTCCCTGCTCCTCTCCTGTCTTCAGCAAGATTCATTCCCAGGGGCCCAGAAAGAGATGTTTGGAGAGAGGTGCCTGTCGGATGCATGCCACACTCCAGGCCCTGGACACAGCCATTCACTCATTTAACTACCATGCAGAATTTATCCCCATTTCCCTGATGAGCAAAGTGAGGCTGAGCTCCTTGCCCACATCACTTAACTTGTGGGTGGCAGGGCTGCAACCCACACCTGGGTCCAGCTGACTCCTTAGCCTGTGTGTCCTTTCTATCAACAGGCTGTAAGGGACCCACACCACCTCGTGTGCCTTCTCTCCTGTCACTGAGCTGTAGGACTGCAAGTCCCTTAAGACAGGGAGATTTTGATCTCTGGATGCCCAGTCATAGCCCAGTGCTTGGCACTGTCAGACGGGGGAACAAAAGTCTGTTGCAGTGGACGAGGCGCTGCCCCTGAGGCTGAAGCACAACCAGCCCCAAGCTGCCCCAGGGCCTTCTCTGTGCTCTCCTGAGAATCTCGCTAGTTCCTTGCTTCCAGTTTCTTCCCTTGGGGGTCCTGGCTTTCTTTTTTCTTGTCGCCCAGGCTGGAGTGCAATGGCACGATCTTAGCTCACTGCAGCCTCTGCCTCCCTGGTTTAAGCAATTCTCCTGCCTCCCGAGTAGCTGGGATTACAGGTGCCCACTACCACAATGGGCTAATTTTTGTATTTTTAGTAGAGACGGGGGTTTTACCATGTTGGCCAGGCTGGTCTCGAACTCCTGACCTCAAGTGATCCACCCGCCTTGGTCTCCCAAAGTGCTGGGATTACAGGCGTGAGCCACCGCGCCTGGCCCTGGTTTTCCTGCTGTCCCTCAGCCTAGTGACCTCTCAGCTCTGGGTAGGTCAGGCCATCTCCACCGACTGTGCACTGTGGCTGGAGATGGGGGTTCTCAGATGCCTTGCCTGCCTTCCAGTCCCTCGCTGTCCCTCAGAGGGGCTGGGCGTCTCTGGCATGTGATAAGTCCAAAAGGGCCCCTTCATCCTTCAACCCATGCCAATTACGGGAGCAAGCATTTCCCAAGTGGGACCAAATTAAAAAAAATTGCAATTAGATGTTATGAGCCTGCAGGGGACAGAGCTGAAACATCAAAGGGGGATGGAAAGATTAATTCGAAACGCCCCAGGAGAGCGGAGTCATGCGTGATTTGCAGGAATCTGCACCACAGTTAACTGGTCCCCTTCGCCAGGAGGGCTCGGCTCCTTCATGCGGCCCCCGCAGTGGGTGAGGTCGGTCCGTCTCCCTCTCTGTCCTCTGACGCCAGGCAGATGAAGTGTCCTCCCGGGCAGGGTAGGAGTTTCCAAGGAGAGCTCCGCCACTGTGCTCTCGACAGGGCCCAGCAGGACTCCTGACCCTCCAGGGTTCCCTTCAGCTCTCCCTGACCTTCTCTCTCTCTCAGCAGCAGCCAAATGCTGTCGTAGCCCCTTTGGAAGAGAGAATGCTTTTATCCCCTCCCCTGGGGTGCACTGCCTTGTAGTACCTGGCACAGTCTCTGGAAAGGAGAGGCGTACTAAACTCCAGCCGCAGAGCTGGGAGCTGTGTCCCGTGGGACCCTCAGGGATATCTGGGCTGCAGCTCGGGGCTCCCCTCAGTCCTCCAGCTGCCACCAGATGTTTTCTAAACCCCTACTATGTGCCAGGCACTGACTGCACAGCAGTGAACAGGACCAACACAGTCCCTGGTCTTAAAGCACAGGTGGGCAGAGGTGAGCATTATTTGAATAGTTACCCAGGTAAGTTGCTTTGACGGTGATAACAGGCGGTGGGGACGTGGGTGAAGGTGTGACTTACTCTGGGGATCAGGAGGGGCTGAGAGTGTGCTGCCTACACTGGGACCCAGAAGATGGGCCAATGTTAGATGGGAGTAGGGGGGAAGCGCTTCCAGGCAGAAGGAACAGCATGTGCAAAGGCCCTGAGGTAGAAGGAACAGGGCATGTGGAGGCCCTGGCCGGAGGTCAGTGTGTTGTGAGTGCAAAATGTGAAGGGTGGACAGTGTGGAAGGAAGATGGAGAGGTAGGCAGGGGCCAGGGGCAGGGCCTGGTCCTCCAGAGACTCATGTTCCGGAGGGGAGATGGAGGGTTTCATGTTGTCTCGTAATAATGTGTCAGCCCAATGAAGGACGTATACCCAGGCCTTCCAGGAACTCTGAGAGTAGATTCTTTACCTGTTTTGGAGGGGATCAAGGAAAAGCCTCCAGGTGAAGGTCATGTGTAAAGAAGTCTTTAAAAAGAATAGGCCGGTCGCGGTGGCTCACGCCTGTAATCCCAGCACTTTGGGAGGCTGAGGCGGGCGGATCACCTGAGGCCAGGAGTTCTCAAGACCAGCCTGACCAACGCGGTGAAACCCTGTCTCTCCTAAAAATACAAAAATTAGCCGGTCGTGTTGGCACACACCTGTAATCCCAGCACTTTGGGAGGCTGAGGCAGGTGGATCATAGGTCAGGCATTTGAGACCAGCCTGGCCAACATAGTGAAACCCTGTCTCTACTAAAAATACAAAAAATTAGCCGGGTGTAGTGGCACATGCCTGTGATCCCAGCTGCTCAGGAGGCTGAGGCAGGAGAATTGCTTGCACCTGGGAGGCGGATGTTGCAGTGAGCTGAGATTGTGCCATTGCACTCCAGCCTGGGCGACAGACCGAGACTCTGTCTCAAAATAGACATAGATAGATAGATAGATAGATAGGTACATAGCTAGCTAGCTAGATAGATAGAAAGATAGAAAGAAAGAATAGGAGTGAGAGGTGGACAGAAGGTTTAGGGAGAGAGACAGGGGCCCCAGGTGAAGGGTGCAGCATGAGCAAAGGCCTGGGGACTGCACGAAGCCTAGAACACAAGGGAGCCACTGGTGAGCTGAGAGACGAGGGCGCCGTGCGGGGAACGTGCAGGGGAAGGACAGGTGGGGCTCCCAGACGTGCAGGTTCTTCCTGGAGGTTGCAGCCCATCGATGTCAGGTGCCCTCAAGTCGGCCTCCGTCAGCTGCATGGAGGGGACATTGCAAGGGGGTGGGCAGCATGCTCAGTGGAGCTATGGCCGCAGGCGGGCATCAGGGCCTGGCCTGGCAGCAGGTGAGATGAGAGGACGTGGATGACTGGGGCCCGGAGGCGGAGCAGGTGGAGGCAGGAACGTGGGTGCGGAGGCGGCCCTGGGGGAGACTGAAATGCTCCCAAGCAGGGCTGTCAGCAGCTGCTGGATACGAACTCGGCAGGTCAGGGCTCAGGCCTTGAGTCAGCGGTGGAGGCCAACCCGAGATTCCTGCTAGCTAGCTACGTTCCGCACCTCGTTTCCTCTGAGAAATGGGGCGGGGTGCCTCAGGGTCCGGGCCTGCCTCGCCGCGTGGCTGAGGGTCTGGGCCTTACAGGGCGACTCTGAGGGTCTGGGCCTGCCTTGCAGGGTGACTGAGGGTCTAGGCCTGCCTTGTGGGATGACTGTGAGGGTCCAGGCCTGCCTCTCGGGGTGACTGAGGGTCTGGGCCCACCTCACCGGGTGACTGTAAGGGTCTGGGCCTGCCTTGGGGGGTGACTGAGGGTCCAGGCCTGCCTCGCAAGGTGACTGAGGGTCTGGACTGTCTCGCGGGGTGATGGAGGGTCCGGGCCTGCCTCGGGGTGACTGTGAGGGTCCGATGGAAGACATCTGTAGTGTCCTGTGCCATCACCAGCCCCAGAACAAGCTCGTGGGACCCGTGTCCATCAGGACAGGCAGTGGTGGCGGTGCTGATGCTTCTGTCCCTCCTTCTGTGTGTTCCTGGGACCCTTCCTTTCTCTACATTAGCTGGAGGGTGGAGGGAGTGGTGATTCCCTGAACCTGGGGGCCCTGGCTTCCAACTCCCTTCCCCTGGCCCGGGAACCACACGAAGTGTGTCCTGGCCCATCACTGACCCCTGGAGCCTCCGAAATGCTCAGATGGAACAAACCAGTAGGTAGGGGTTGTGGAGGGGATATTGCTTTTTGGGGCCTGAACCCCTGCATGTGTGCAGTTCATAGGAGCAAGGCAGGTAGTCCAGGCAGAGGCTGCCCACTCTACTGGCCTTGCCCCCCTTCCAGCCCTGCCCTGCTGCCCCGGTATTTTCCTTCCCCAGCACCGTGAGCACTGCTTGGAAAGCGTTGGTCTAGGGCATTGCAGTTTTTTTTTTTTTAAATTGGAAAAACCGGCAGTGTAGAAGTATGGATCCCTGAAACACCACACACCACCCATGCCCCCTGCCTTTCGTGTGTGATCTCCTCTGCCTGAACCCGCCTCCCTCCTTCCATGGGGAAGCACCTGTTCATCCTGCAAAAGCTCACACATGGTAAAGCCATGCCTGACAGCCCTCCCCATGATAATTACAGTTATCACTATTAACGACCATTTGCAGGCAATTGGGAATTTGCTATGTAAAAGCACCTTATCTACCCTGCCTCATTAATTCTCATGGCATCCCTTAAAGAGACAGATCAGAAAACCAAGGGTGAGAGCCTCATCCGAGGTCTCGCATCTGGGAAGGGACGGGACCAGAAGATAAGACTGTCCAGTGGACTCCAAACCCTAGATCTTCACATTCATCAGCCCCCAGCTCCCCCTGACAGAGAAAGGATATGCGTATTAGCTTTCCAAACTCCTATTGTGTCGGCCACAGAGAACCGTTAGCTGCAACAGCCGGGACCAGGCAGGACATGAGACCACCGGGGCCCATCTTGTGTCAGGGGGCCCCCAGGAAAGGGTCCGCCTCCCTCAGCCTGCTGCCCTAGGTCCTGCCTCCAGGACTCTTGCCTTCTGACACTTCCCTAAAGAAAGCGAGCCTTTCCAGAGCCTCATCCCCTCCCTGCTGGGTAATTCTCTTATTTATCCACTTCCTGACCCCACCTGCACGTCCCACCAAGCAGCCTGTCCCGGGCACCTAAGAGGCCAGGCGTCCCAGCGGGTACTTGGTAATGCGTAGAATGAAAACGCCTTAGACCTGTTAGTTAAATAGGTATCTGTGTCATTGATTGGCATCTGCCACCCCCACCATATTGTAGTTCTTCAGGGTGCAGTGGCTTTTCCCGTCTCGTTCATCTCTGCACACAGCAATGTCACAGGCACGGAATGTCTCAGGGAAGCTGGCACCCACCCAGGGCAGGGGCTCCGGGGTTTGATCTGCTGCTGCCACTCTCTCCCTGTCCAGAAAAATAGAAGGAGTTTGAGTCCTTCCCCCGCCCCATTTGCAGCCTCAGGAGGCGTCAGTCCCGCAGCCCATTGGAGCAGAGACAGCTCAACCTCCGGACCCAGTCCCAGCCCTGCCTCGCCGTTGCCCGCCCTCACCTGCCCTCACCACGGCTCCTCTTCTGTAACTCGCTTCCCCCCCGCCTCGAACCTGCTAGTTTTCAAAGTGTTCATATCAACGCTGTGTCTTCACCCTAATTACATGGCTTTCCTGTCCCCTGGTGAACTCCGTCTCACTACCTTACGGAGCTCCGAGCTCCCTTTTTCTTCTCTTGATAATCTCTCATGCTCCTCCCTTGACACCTCTCGTGCTGTGACCTTGGCCTTCTCTGTGTACGTGAGCGTCACATTCTGTGTTTCTGGCTCCCGGGCTAAGGTGGTGCTGCCGTCTTTGCCAAGGCCCAGGAGCTGGCGGATGGCAGGGCTGGCGCTTGGAGCCTGTGTCTGCCCCGTCTCTGTTGCCCGCGTGCCTTGCCCCCTGCACACGGCACCTGGGCCGTCTCTGTTGCCCATGTGCCTTGTCCCCGGCACACAGCACCTGCCCCGTCTCTGTTGCCCGCAATCCCAACCCCGGCACACGGAACCTGGGCCGTCTCTGTTGCCACCTGGGCCGTCTCTGTTGCCACCTGGGCCATCTCTGTTGCCACCTGGGCCATCTCTGCTGCCCGCGCTCGTCGTCCCGGCACGCGGCACCTGGGCCGTCCACTGACTGTTCTCGGGGGGGCTTGGTGGATGTGGTAGGGGCTGCCGGAGTTTGCACCGGGGAGGCCTCCACGCCGTCTGTGCTGTTCCCTCTCGAGGCTGCAGACGGGCTGGTCCGTGCACACCTACCAGACGGAGAAGCAGAGGAGGAAGCAGCACCTCAGCCCGGCGGAGGTGGAGGCCATCCTGCAGGTCATCCAGAGGGCAGAGCGGCTCGACGTCCTGGAGCAGCAGAGAATCGGGTGAGGCGGGGCCGGGGCCAGCTCAGTGGGAGGACAGCAAGGGCTTTGGCGCAAGCGCAGGGGACTGGGAGGCCGGCACTCCGGGTCCTGGTTTTGCTATTTACCTCTGGGAGTGGGTGAGGAGGTCCCTGACTCCAGCCCTTGCTGAAGGGTGCTCTGTCTGAACTCTGGGAGTGTAACCCAGCCCGCTGAGGCCTCAGGACACCCCTCTGTGAGACGGGGCTGCTAGCTGAGCTGTGCGCCCCATGCTGAGGGCGTGAATGAGCCTGGTGAAGCCTCCCAGGAGCTGTTCGGCTGTGCACACCTGCAGGTCAGCTGTGGTTCAGCCAAGGGAGGGGTTCAGGTGGAGGCCAAGCCACAGGTCGCCCCTGAAAGGCTCCAGCAGGAGCCGCTCCCCGCCTGGCTCTACGTGCCTCTCCTGGCCTCCGCCTCCAGCGCCGACCACAGCTCAGTCTTCCAGCACTTCCATCGTGTCCAGTGTTTAATTACGAAAGCAATTCATATTTCCTAGAAAATCTGAAAAACACAGAAAAGCACAAGTAGGAAGACACAAATGCACTGGGCAGGAATTGATTTCATTCTGGCCTCCTATGTATCTTTGATCTTTCTTTTCCTTTTCTTTTTTTTTGGGGGGGGACAGGGTCTCACTCTGCAGTGTAGATTAGAATGCAGTGGTGCTATCACAGATCACTGCAGCCTCAACTTCCTGGGCTCAAGCGACCTCCCCACCTCAGCCTTAAGTAGCTAGGACCGTGCGTGGGCACCACCACACCCAGCTATTTTTTATTTTATTTTTTTTGTAGAGATGGGGTCTCACTATGTTACCCAGGCTGCTCTCGAACTTCTGGGCTCAAGCGATCCGCCTGCCTCAGCCTCACAAAGGGCTGGGATGTCAGGCATGAGCCACCCTGCCCGGCCTTATCTTTACAGTGGGAAAGACAGGCCAGATGGCATGGCTCATTCTTCAGCTGTGAGTCCACGTGTTCTCCGAGAGCCTTCTCTGGTCCCATGGAACATGCCCCTGTCCCTCAATGTCCCTCCCCCTCCCTCCCCTCAATGTCCCTCCCCCTCCCTCCCCTCAATGTCCCTCCCCCTCCCTCCCCTCAATCTCCCTCCCCCTCCCTCCCCTCAGTCTCCCTCCCCCTCCCTCCCCTCAATCTCCCTCCCCCTCCCTCCCCCCACTATTTCCATTTCATAGCGCTGCTCTCTATCTGAAACCAGTTCGCTTGT
Organism: Homo sapiens; assembly: GCF_000001405.40. Taxonomy (NCBI): domain Eukaryota; kingdom Metazoa; phylum Chordata; class Mammalia; order Primates; family Hominidae; genus Homo; species Homo sapiens. The sequence continues at coordinate 82,597 of NT_187662.1, forward strand.
TTTCTTGCTTATGAATTTTCTTCCTTATTGAAGGTAAGTTCCATGAGAACAGGGACCATGTCTGTCTCTGGCTTGTTTGCTACAGTATTCCCAGTGTCTGATGAATCATAGGTGCTCACTGAATAGTTGGTGAGTGAATGAAGGATTCGCTGTTATCCAGGGGAAGGGCGGGGCAAGGAACAATATCCCAGGTGAGGGGACAGCACATGTGGCATGGTACGGTTTCGGGCCTCAGTGCAACTGTGCCCAGGCAGGAAGCACAGTCCCTCTGACTCTGTGTCCTGTGCTGCAGGCGGCTGGTGGAGCGGCTGGAGACCATGAGGCGGAATGTGATGGGGAACGGCCTGTCCCAGTGTCTGCTCTGCGGGGAGGTGCTGGGCTTCCTGGGCAGCTCGTCGGTGTTCTGCAAAGACTGCAGGAAGGTAAGACCCTGCTCTGGCCCTGTCATTCTGGCTTCCCAGCCTGGACCAGCCCCGCTGCGCTGTGGCTTTGCATCCTGGCTCCCAGGAGTGTGTATGTCTGCGTTGGGCATGTGGTATCCTCTGCATCTTGGCAAGAAGCACTAAGACTTAAAAACCAAATGGACTGATGTCTAGGGCCAGCTCTGCGTCTCAGCTTGGAGGCATCTTCTAGCCCTTCTGGTAGATTCACACCCGAGCCACGAGACCCAGAGCTGGTGTTAGAAGTCAGGCTGTGAATCTAGCTCTTCTGCTATGACCTCAGAAAACTTGTTTAATATCTCACACCTGATGTTCCTTGTCTGTAATATGTGGTCGTGATACCATGTACCTCACCATGCTATGAGGATTAAATATTCTTCAACGCAAAACTCTTAAAACCTTGCCTGGTACATAGGCACTCAATAAATGTTATCATCTCCAGAATATATGAAGGCAACAAGGAAAAAATGTTTTTAGTTGTTATTAGTTAAATCCTATCTTCCTGAAGTCCAAGCAGTATGCTGGGATTACACTTTCTGTTCCATTGGTCCTGCTTCTCTTGATCCCTGGTTACTCAAAGAAGAATGATCTTTGCAGGGAGATCAAATTGATTTTCTTCTTATACTAAATTGTGCCACATATTAAATTGTTTCGCATTGAGTCTAGGACTTTTTAAATATAGCTTTTAGTTTTTCTGGAGTTTCGACTTGCCTTTCGTTTTCTTATTTCTGGGAGAATAATATGCCTTCTAATCCTCAAGATAGTTAGCATCTTAATTATACTATCATATGGAGGCTATTTTTTTTTTCCTGGCATAAACCCTTCTAGATTCTTACTCCTGCTCCTCCTAGGTTGGTAGCTGCACAGCTATTATAACGGGATTTCCCTTTGCTGCCCTCCTAGGTGAGAAACACTGATCTCAAGACACCATGTCTTCCTCTTTTTTGTTTTCACCTTAGTTTTGCTGGAACCCATCCTCAAGTAACTTCCATGTGCTAGTCATGCTTTTTTCCACCCCCAGAGACGGAGTCTTGCTCTGTCACCCAGGCTGGAGTGCAAATGGTGCAGTCTTGGCTCACTGCAACCTCTGCCTCCAGGTTCAAGTGATTCTCCTGCCTCAGCCTCCTGAGTAGCTGGGATTACAGGTGCATGCCACCACTACCGGCTAATTTTTGAATTTTAGTAGAGACAGGGTTTCACCATGTTGGCCAGGCTGGTCTTGAACTCCTGACCTCAGGTGATCCGCCCGCCTCGGCCTCCCAAACTGCTGGGATTACAGGCGTGAGCCACCGTGCCTGGCTGCTAGTCATGGTTTTAAGACTGGAGTTATTATACTGAAGAAGACAGAGAAGGAATTTTCTTGAGATGATATTGGGCAAGGGAACTAAAAAACAAGTAATGATCAAATAAACAAGATGATGTCAGGAAATAATAAACCCTGGGAAGAAACAACAGAGGGTGGAGGGTGGAGGATGGAGGATGGGGTGGGGTGGGGTGGGGTGTGAACTGTTGAGAGAACCGGGAAAGATGGAGAAGTCAAAAGAAATAAATGTGGATGTGGAACATGCAGGCCACTGGCAAACTTGAGGGCATTTTCAGGGGCATTCAAAAGCTGGATGAGAAAACCAAAGGTACAGTGAAGTTAACCTGCCCAATTAGTAAGCAGGAAAGCCAGGACTTCAGCTACCTCATTTCTTTTCCTGCTTTTGTCATATGTGGTAAGGGAAAACTGGGCTGAGGAAGGTGGATTAACTGGCCCAAAAATACTGGAGGGGAGATGGGGGCCTGGGTGTTAGACTGTGCGGGCTCCTCCTTCAGCCTTGCCAAGGCCCTGGACTACAGGTCAGTGGAGGTGGGGGCACAGGGACTTCAGGTCAATGGAGGTGGGGGCACAGGGACTACAGGTCAATGGAGGTGTGGAGCACAGAAACTACAGGTCAATGGAGGTGGGGGCACATGGACTACAGGTCAATGGAGGTGTGGAGCACAGAGACTACAAGTCAATGGACGTGGGGCCACAGGGACTACAGGTCAATGGAGGTGGGGGCACAGGGACTTCAGGTCAATGGAGGTGGGGCACATGGACTAAAGGTCAATGGAGGTGGGACAGAGAGACTACAGGTCAATGGAGGTGGGGCACAGGGACTGCAGGTCAATGGAGGTGGAGCACAGGCACTGCAGGTCAATGGAGGTGGAGTACAGGGACTACAGGTCAATGGAGGTGGAGCACAGGGACTAAAGGTCAATGGAGGTGGGGCACAGGGACTACACGTCAGTGGAGGTGGAGTCACAGGGACTACAGGTCACTGGAGGTGGAGCACAGAGACTACAGGTCAGTGGAGGTGGGGCACAGAGACTACAGGTCAGTGGAGGTGGAGTACAGAGACTACAGGTCAATGGAGGTGGGGTCACAGGGACTACAGGTCAATGCAGGTGGGTGTAGAGAGACTACAGGTCAATGGAGGTGGAGCACAGAGACTACAGGTCAGTGGAGGTGGAGCACAGGGACTACAGGTCAATGGAGGTGGAGCACAGGGACTACACATCACTGGAGGTGGAGTCACAGGGACTACAGGTCAATGGAGGTGGGGGCACAGGGACTACAGGTCAATGGAGGTGGGGGCACAGGGACTTCAGGTCAATGGAGGTGGGGCACATGGACTACAGGTCAATGGAGGTGGGGCACAGAGACTACAGGTCAATGGAGGTGGGGCACAGGGACTGCAGGTCAATGGAGGTGGAGCACAGGCACTGCAGGTCAATGGAGGTGGAGTACAGGGACTACAAGTCAATGGAAGTGGAGCACAGGGACTACAGGTCAATGGAGGTGGGGCACAGGGACTACATGTCAGTGGAGGTGGAGTCACAGGGACTACAGGTCACTGGAGGTGGAGCACAGAGACTACAGGTCAGTGGAGGTGGGGCACAGAGACTACAGGTCAGTGGAGGTGGAGCACAGAGACTACAGGTCAATGGAGGTGGGGTCACAGGGACTACAGGACAATGGAGGTGGGTGCAGAGAGACTACAGGTCAATGGAGGTGGAGCACAGAGACTACAGGTCAGTGGAGGTGGAGCACAGGGACTACAGGTCAATGGAGGTGGGGCACAGGGACTACAGGTCAATGGAGGTGGGAGCACAGGGATTACAGGTCAATGGAGGTGGGGTCACAGGGACTACAGGTCAATGGAGGTGGAGTCACAGGGACTACAGGTCAATGGAGGTGGGCGCACAGGGACTACAGGTCAATGGAGGTGAGGCACAGGGACTACAGGTCAATGGAGGTGGGGACACAGGGACTACAGGTCAATGGAGGTGTGGCACAGGGACTACAGGCCAGTGGAGGTGGAGTCACAGGGACTACAGGTCAGTGGAGGTGGGTCACAGGGACTACAGGTCAATGGAGGTGGGGGCACAGGGACTACAGGTTAATGGAGGTGGGGGCACAGGGACTACAGGTGAATGAAGGTGGGGGTACAGGGACTACACGTCAATGGAGGTGGGGCACAGGGACTACACGTCAGTGGAAGTGGAGTCACAGGGACTACAGGTCAGTGGAGGTGGGGCACAGGGAATACAGGTCAATGGAGGTGGGGTCACAGGCACTACAGGTCAATGGAGGTGGAGTCACAGGGACTACAGGTCAATGGAGGTGGAAGCACAGAGACTACAGGTCAATGGAGGTGGAGCACAGGGACTACAGGTCAATGGAGGTGGGGTCACAGAGACTACAGGTCAATGCAGGTGGGAGCACAGAGACTACAGGTCAATAGAGGTGGGGACACAGGGACTACAGGTCAATGTAGGTGGAGTCACAGGGACTACAGGTCAATGGAGGTGGGGTCACAGAGACTACAGGTCAATGGAGGTAGGGTCACAGAGACTACAGGTCAATGGAGGTGGAACACAGAGACTACAGGTCAATGGAGGTGGGAGCACAGAGACTACAGGTCAATAGAGGTGGGGACACAGGGACTACAGGTCAATGGAGGTGGAGCACAGAGACTACAGGTCAAAGGAGGTGGAGTCACAGGGACTACAGGTCAATGGAGGTGGGAGCACAGAGACTACAGGTCAATGGAGGTGGGAGCACAGAGACTACAGGTCAATGGAGGTGGGGACACAGGGACTAGAGGTCAATGGAGGTGGAGTCACAGGGAGTACAGGTCAATGGAGGTGGAGCACAGGGACTACAGGTCAATGGAGGTGGAGTCACAGGGACTACAGGACAATGGAGGTGGGGTCACAGGGACTACAGGTCAATGGAGGTGGAGCACAGGGACTACAGGTCAATGGAGGTGGAGTCACAGGGACTACAGGTCAATGGAGGTGGGGGCACAGGGACTACAGGTCAGTGGAGGTGGATCACAGGGACTACAGGTCAATGGAGGTGGGGCACAGAGACTACAGGTCAATGGAGGTGGGGGCACAGGGACTGCAGGTTAGTGGAGGTGGAGCACAGGGACTACAGGTCAATGGAGGTGGAGCACAGAGACTACAGGTCAATGGAGGTGGCACAGGGACTACTGCTCAATGGAGGTGGAGCACAGGGTCTGCAGGTCAATGGAGGTGGGGTCACAGAGACTACAGGTCAATGGAGGTGGAGCATAGGGACTACACGTCAGTGGAGGTGGAGCACAGGGACTACAGGTCAATGGAGGTGGGGCACAGAGACTACAGGGCAGTGGAGGTGGGGTCAGAAGGACTGCATATCAATGGAGGTGGAGCACAGGGACTACAGGTCAATGGAGGTGGGGGCACCGGGACTGCATATCAATGGAGGTGGAGCACAGGGACTACAGGTCAATGGAGGTGGAGCACAGAGGCTACAGGTCAATGGAGGTGGAGCACAGGGACTACAGGACAATGGAGGTGGAGTACAGGGACTACAGGTCAATGGAGGTGGGGTCAGAGGGACTAAAGGTCAATGGAGGTGGAAGCACAGAGACTACAGGTCAATGGAGGTGGAGTCACAGGGACTACAGGTCAATGGATGTGGAGTCACAGGGACTACAGGTCAATGGTGGTGGGGGCACAGGGACTACAGGTCAATGGAGGTGGGGCACAGGGACTACACGTCAGTGGAGGTGGGGTCACAGGGACTACAGATCAATGGAGGTGGGGGCACAGGGACTACACGTCAGTGGAGATGGAGTCACAGGGACTACAGGTCAATGGAGGTGGGGGCACAGGGACTACAGTTCAATGGAGGTGGGGGCACAGGGACTACAGGTCAATGGAGGTGGGGCACAGGGACTACAGGTCAATAGAGATGGGGTCACAGGGACTACAGGTCAATGGATGTGGAGCACAGAGACTACGGGTCAATGGAGGTGGGGCACAGGGACTACAGGTCAATGGAGGTGGGGTCACAGGGACTACAGGTCAATGGAGGTGGAGCACAGAGACTACCGGCCCATGGAGGTGGGGTCACAAGTACTACAGGTCAGTGGAGGTAGAGCACAGGTACTACAGGTCAGTGGAGGGGGAGTACAGGGACTACAGTTCAGTGGAGGTGGAGCACAGGGACGACAGGTCAATGGAGGTGGGGCACAGGGACTACAGGTCAATGGAGGTGGGAGCACAGGGATTACAGGTCAATGGAGGTGGGGTCACAGGGACTACAGGTCAATGGAGGTGGAGTCACAGGGACTACAGGTCAATGGAGGTGGACGCACAGTGACTACAGGTCAATGCAGGTGAGGCACAGGGACTACAGGTTAATGGAGGTGGGGGCACAGGGACTACAGGTCAATGGAGGTGTGGCACAGGGACTACAGGTCAGTGGAGGTGGAGTCACAGGGAGTACAGGTCAGTGGCGGTGGGGTCACAGGGACTACAGGTCAATGGAGGTGGAGTCACAGGGACTACAGGTCAATGGAGGTGGGGGCACAGGGACTGCAGGTCAGTGCAGGTGGAGCACAGGGACTACAGGTCAATGGAGGTGCAGCACAGAGACTGCAGGTCAATGGAGGTGGGGCACAGGGACTACAGGTCAATGGAGGTGGAGCACAGAGACTACAGGTCAATGGAGGTGGGGTCACAGGGACTACAGGTCAGTGGAGGTGGAGCACAGGGACTACAGGTCAGTCGAGGTGGAGTACAGGGACTACAGGTCAATGGAGGTGGGGCACAGGGACTACAGGTCAGTGGAGGTGGAGCACAGAGACTACAGGTCAATGGAGGTGGAGTCACAGAGACTACAGGTCAATGGAGGTGGAGTCACAGGGACTACAGGTCAATGGAGGTGGGGCACAGGGACTACAGGTCAGTGGAGGTGGAGCACAGAGACTGCCTGTCAGTGGAGGTGGGGCACAGAGACTACAGGTCAATGGAGGTGGAGTCACAGGGACTACAGGTCAATGGACGTGGAGTATAGGGACTACAGGTCAATGGAGGTGGGGGCATAGAGACTACAGGTCAATGGAGGTGGGGGCAGAGGGACTACATGTCAGTGGAGGTGGGGCACAGAGACTTGGGAATGGCCAACTTGCAGGACTCGGGCAGTGACTCCTGCCTGGGAGAACGGGAGCTGGCAGTGTGCTTCCTCCTCCTGTCTCTCAACCCCACAGCTGCTGTGAATATTCCAGGTATAGGGGCCTGTGGAGAGGCACAGAGCCTGGCCTGTGGTAAATATTCCAGCTATAGGGGACCATGAAGAGGCACAGATCCTGGCCCACTTCCCCTGGGACAGTCCAGGGCCTGTGCTGCAGAGGCCGCTGCTGGTGTGGCTGTGCAACGGTTAGTACAGGTGCTCCTTGGAGCCATGTCTTAGGCAACAGTGGCTGTCCTGGGGAAGGACCTCAGCTGGATGTGGGTCCCCACGCTACTCTGGAGCTGTGGGCTGGTCCGGGCGTTTCTGTTGCAGATGGTTCTTGGTGTTGAGCAGACTGAGGTCTCAGTCCTGGCTTGGGTGATGAGGCCGGGGAATCTTTGAGCTTCTGAGGCTTCTGAGGGGCTTGTTCCAGGATTGAGGTGGGAGGGGAGTGTATTAGGGGAGCACAGCTGGATGGTGGGCATTTGGGGGCTTTGGAGGGTTCACTCTTCCTTCTTGGAGAAGGTGGTGTCATTCGTTCATTCATCTTCATTCATTCTGTAAATAATAGCCCATTGTGTGCAAGCCCTGTTCTGGGTCCTGCCGACGCCGTGAACGAGATGGACACAGTCCACCCTGTTGTGGAGATGACTTTCCAGGGTCAGGGCATAGAGAAGACAAATGAATAAACATGAAGCAAGACTAGGTACACCGAGGACTCTGTTGAATTAACGCAGAGCACCTAGGGAGAGGCTTAGGGGGCCTCTCTGAGCTCAGGCCCAAACACAAGCAACAGCTGGCCCTGGGAAGATCTGGGTGGAACAGTGTTCCCGGCAGAGGGAACGGCAAGTTTCCCCTGGAACAGTCCTGAAGGCCCTGAGGCAGGAACGAGCTGGGCATGTTCAAGGGGCACATGGTGGCATCTGGGGCAGAGAGTGAGCGGCCGGATGGCCCATCACACAGCCTCGCCAGTCAAGGTCAGGAGCTGAGATTTCACTTAAGTTTAATGAGATGCCAGTGGAGTGTTTTGAGCAGGGGTGTGATCTGATCTGTGTTTTTAAGAGACGACCCTAGTGCTGGAGACAGGTGGTGATGGCCGTCACTGGGAGATGATAGGGATGGAGACAGGCAACGTAGGGACTGAGGCCATTTGCTGAGACAGAGCGTCAGCCTCTTCAGTGTATTCTAAGCAGATGGAGAGGAATTAGAGGGGGTGAAGGAGGGTTCTAGGAAGGAAAGAGCTCTCGACTTCAGGGGGCTGGAATGAGAGGTCGCTTGGTCCACCCTGAGCAGCAAGAGGGCAGCCGGTTCTCCTGGACTTGCCAGTGAGGACTGTCCCCACGCAGATGCCACGCAGTGCTGGGGGCTCCTGCCCAGATGGGAGGGACTCATCTGTACTTTCAGGAGTGCCTCCGTGTTCCTGCAAGCACCTGGCACGGCTAGCTTCCCTCCTCCCTGGCTGCAGGATTGTGAGGTGGTTGTGCACGGAGCTGCAGGACCAGACAGACTTGGGTTGAGGTCCCAGCTTGGCCACGGTGGCGCGGTCTCGTACAAGTCACTTAACCTCTCTGGGCCTCTGTTCTTTCATCTGTAAAATGGGGTCATTAAGCTTCTGTCATCGTTGATGGATGCAATAGTGCAGGAGAAGCCCTTAGCAGACTGCCTGGCCCATTGGCAGCGTGCAGTAAAGGATGCCTGTGATTGTTATGAAACCTCTTCAGGGTCCTGCCTGCTGAGGCCACACACGTGTTACCAACGATGGAGCAGATCCCCAGACATTTCAGAAGAGGCTGAGTGACTCCCCGTGTCATAGTCAGCTCAGACCGCCCTAATAAAGTGCCACAGACTGGGCACCTTCAGCCGTAGATATTTATTTTTCAGTTTGGAGGCACGAAATTCTGAGATCAAGGTGCTGGCTGATTCTGTGTCTGGTGAGGGCCCTGTTCATGGCTTGCAGACAGCTGCCTTCTCCGTGTGTCCTCGTGTGGCAGGAGGAGAGGGCTCTAGTCTCTCCTCCTCCTCTTGCTTTTCTGTGTTTTGACAGGGTCTCACTCTGTCACCCAGGCTGGAGTGCAGTGGCATGATCATTGTTCACTGCAGCCTTCAACTCCTGGGGTCCTGCAATCTTCCCACCCCAGCTTCCCGGGCAGCTGAGACTACAGATGTGTGCCACCACGCCTGTCTAATTTTTAATTTTTTGTAGAGACAGGGTATCGCTTTGTTGCCCGGGCTGGTCTCTAACTAGCCCTCAAGCAATCCTCCCACCTCCGCTTCCCAAAGCACTGGGATTACAGACGTGAGCCACAGCACCCGGCCTCTCCCTTTTCTTATAAAGACACTAGTCCTATCGGATTAGGGCCTCACCCTTGCACCCTCATTTTACCTTAATTACCTCCTAAAGACCTTCTCTCCAAATACAGTCACTCTGGGGGTCAGGGCTTCAACATAGGAATTTTGAAGGGACACAGTTCAGTCCATAGCACCCACATTCTCCTCGTTGGAATTCTTGTTTTCTTAAAATTGGAGCTCCCACAGCTAGTCCCATATTTTCTGTAATTTACATAAAAGCCTCTGGAAGCCTTTGTAGCTCTCCAGCACTGGATGTCCTGAGCCGGCAGGGAAACGCCTCAGTCTTTGTGCTCGTATAAATGTCTCGTTATAATTGTCTCGTTACTCGTATAAATGTCTTTCTCGATCGCTTCGCCCATTGTGAGCCAATCCTGGGTTGGGGGGATCCAAAAAGAGAGGTTTTCAGAATAATCGCTTCCCTCACGTCCTGACCGTCAAGATGGGCAGACAGTATTCTCTAGTGTGACGTGCACTGTGGTTGGGACTGGGGTTCCCAGGACTCAGAGCAGCCAGGAGGGCTGCCTGGAGGAGTGGGCCCCTGGAGGCTGGGCAGGTTTCTGAAAGGCTGAGGGCAGAGGGAAGGGCATCCGGGGAGGGGAAGACCACACAGGCTGAGGCCGGAAGCTGGAAACGGGCTGGGCAAGTGCTCAACTGTGAGGATGATGCCTGGGGAGCACAGAGGCGTGTGCTGAAGGAAAAAGGAACACAGGATGCAATGGCAGATTCGACTTAGGAACAGTGGACCGAGGAGGAGGGACGGGGCATGCTCCAGCTGCCTCCAAGGCTGAGATCCTGGGGACCTGAAAACAGAGGGCAGAGCTGAGATCTTTGGGACGCTGAGCTGTAGGGGACTTGTAAGAGGGTGGAGTCTTTCAGGGGACGAGCTGCATTTGAGCAGTGAATGGGCAGGTGTAGAGGAGTCTTTCAGGGGACGAGCTGCATTTGAGCAGTGAATGGGCAGGTGCAGGGGAGTCTTTCGGGAGATGAACTGCGTTTGAGCAGTGAATGGGCAGGTGTGGAGGGCCTGGGACTCCAGGGAGATGATCGCAGAGGCACTGCCCCCCTGGGGGCCCTGCTGTAGGGGGTGGTGGCCTAGAACCCGAGTCGCTGGAGAATCAGGGAGGCCCAGACATAGCCCCTGCGAAGCCCTTGCCCCTGCAGGGCTCTCTCGTGTCTGGGAGGAGAGACGATGCCATCCCTTCCTTATCCCACAAATATTTATCGCACACCGACTGGTGTCAGGAGCCATGCGGATCTCAGTGCTCTGGAGGGAGGCGTGAAACCATTAAGGGTAATTAATTACAGCTGGGAATGGGGTTAAGGCGGCAGCCCTGGGGGGCTGGAAGGGCTCTAACACGGTGTGAGGAATCGGGCCCTCCACTCTGGGACTGCCGGTTTCTGGGCCACCTCCCTGTTTATCTCCATCTCCACATTCCGCCTCCTCACCTTCTGCGGATGGCTGCAGCCTGGGGCCCTGGGAGGTGTGTGGGCTTGGGCAGGCTGGAGAAGGGATGCTGGGGAGATCCCTGCCGTGGGAAGCATCCAGGCCCAGGCATGGTTGGGGAGGACAGAGCCTCAGGTGCTCCTGGGCACACACACGCGCCCCCAGCAGGAGCCCTGGCAGCGTTCAGCAGCTACAAGCTAATGAGCTTGTGGGTGGAAGCCGAGATGCCGGTCCTCGGAGCTGCGTCCCCTCCGTAATTGGGCCTGCATGCCTCGACTGCCTGCCCTCATTATCTGAGGGCCTTGGTGGGAAGGGAGAGGGGCTGGCTGGTTAATTAGAGAGGACTGGTGCTCCTAATTGCTTGGGATCTGAGTCAGCCAGCTTTGAGTCTCACTGAGAGTCCAGCTAGCCATGGGGAGGCTGGGCAGGGCCACAGCAGAGCCCGCCTGAGCCTGGGATGCATTGTCACCATTTGAGGGAAGCAATCGTTTTTTTTTTCTGGTCTCAGCCGAAGGTGTCCCACAGTGTGGGTGCAGGGGAGCCTGCCTATGAAACGATGACCTGAGTCTTCATGAAGGAAGACTGGGCAGTCTTATATTTTGCCCACGTCCCTTAGAGGAGGTCCAGCTCAGGCTGGGGGCAGGTATTACCCAGCCCAGCATGGAGGGAAGGGGCTGGGTCAGAACCTGACCTTTCCCCTAACCTGGCTTGAGCCCACTTTGCACCGAGGAGGGGATGTGTCCTGCTGAGAGTCATCCCGGACCCCTGGCAGGGGGGCTGGCAGGAGCCTGGGGCAGGGCAGGGGACATGCCGTATCCTGGACCCCCAGCAGGAGGCTGGCAGGAGCCTGGGGCAGGGCAGGGGACGTGCCATATCCCAGACCCCCAGCAGGGGGCTGGCAGGAGCCCTGGACGGGGGACGTGCCATATCCCGGACCCCCAGCAGGGGGGCTGGCAGGAGCCCTGGACGGGGGACATGCCGTATCCCGGACCCCCAGCAGGGGGGCTGGCAGGAGCCCTGGACGGGGGACATGCCGTATCCCAGACCCCCAGCAGGGGGCTGGCAGGAGCCCTGGACGGGGGACGTGCCATATCCCGGACCCCCAGCAGGGGGCTGGCAGGAGCCCTGGGCAGGGCGGGGGACATGCCATATCCCGGACCCCCAGCAGGGGGCTGGCAGGAGCCCTGGGCAGGGCGGGGGACATGCCATATCCCGGACCCCCAGCAGGGGGGCTGGCAGGAGCCCTGGACAAGGGACGTGCCGTATCCCGGACCCCCGGCAGGGGGCTGGCAGGAGCCCTGGGCAGGGCGGGGTACATGCCATTTTCCTAAGGCTTCAGCTTCCCTCTCTGTTTGGTATCTGGGACTCGAGGCCAGGAAGCCATGGACAGAGCAGGAGGAGTGCTCCTTTTTTAAGAGACAAGGTCTAGCTCTGCCGCTCAGGCTGGAGTGCAGTGGCAAACAGGGCTCACTGCAGCCTCAAACTCCTGGGCTCAATCGATCCTCCCACCTCGGCCTCCCTAGGAGCTAGGACCACAGTCATGCACCACCTCGCCTGGAAAATTTTTTATTTTTTGTAGAGACAGGGTCTGCTATGTTGCCCAGGCTGGTCTCAAACTCCTGGCTCAAATGATCCTCCTGCCTCGGCCTCTCAAAGTGCTGGGATTACAGGCTTGAGCCACCACAGCCAGCCTCCATCACTGCTTTATTCCCAGCAGCCAGTCCTCCAGTCTTAGAGATGGTGGTGATTTGTGACCTGCCTGCAGCAGCTGCCTAGAGAGAGTCTGCTAACCTCTGAGAAGTATTCTCCTTCTGCCTTGGGAAGCTGTGGGGGTCCTGGCCCCATCCAGTTTACAGAGAGCTGCTCCTGGAGGTGGAGGCATTAGGGCTAGGAGAGAATTCAGGTGCTGATGGGGTCTCTGCTACTCAAAGTCTGGGCCGAGGACCTCACCTGGATGTTCATTAGAAATGCAGAATCTCAGGCCCCCACAGACCTCCCAAACTAGAAGCTGCAGTTTAACCAGGTGCCCTTTGCATAATGCTTTCAAGGTTCATCCATGATGTAGCATGTGTAGGAATTTCCATCCTTTTTAAGGCGAGGAAAATTTCACTGTATGTGCATACCCCACTTTGTGTATCCACTCACCTGTGATGGATATTTGGGTTGCTTCCATGTTGCAGCTATTGTGAACAATGCTGCAGTGGGCACGAGCGTGCAAACCTCTCTGCAACCCTGCCTTCGATTCTCTTGGGTCTATACCCAGCAGTGGAATTGCTGAATCATACGGCAGTTCTGTGTTTACCTGTTTGAGGAGCCTCCACCCTGCTTTCCGTGGCAGCTGCACCATTTCACATCCCCACAAGCATAAGGCTTAGGAGAAGTCAGTTTTTTGCAGAGCCTCCCTCCCAAATGGGTGTGCGGTGAAAGTCCTCCACGGCCCTGTCCCCTACTCCCTTTCCAAAGCTAATCCTCAGTGCCCGTCCATTGCTGGAGCTGTAGAAGCAGCAGCCTCCTTGAGCCATTTCATCTCAGTCGCCTGCAAATTGGCCTCACAATGTCCTTTCTCCTCTTGACCTAATTCAGACGTGGAAGACGTGTGTTTGCCCCTCATTACAAAGATGGATTTTTTCATTCAGCGACTGAAGCTTCCTAAATTCCCGGAAAAAGTCACTTAATTCTTCTGCCCCGAGGGGCCTGCTTCGGCTCTCTTGCATCTCCAAGGCTGTCTGGCAGGAATGGACTTGGCTGCAGTTGCTGGGATCGGAGGATTGGACCAGACACCGCACGGCATCTTGGAACATCTGCCTTGCTCAGAGTCTGGCAAGCGGAACATCTCCATTGAGGCCTCCTTTTCTCTTGCTGTCTTGAGGCCTGCGTGTGGCTTTTCTTCTTCCAAAGAAAGAAGGAGCAGCTATCTTGTGCGGTGCTGAGCCCCTTCCGTTCACCCCAGCACACTGCTGACCTTCAGCTCAGGGTCATCAGCACAAAGGCAGCCAATCGGCTGCAGAGACCCAGGGTGGGCTTGGGGAACCACACGGATCCCTGGCAAGGCCCAGAGCTTTCTGGACGGAGCTTTGCACGACCTGTCCCCTGGTCAGTTCCTGTGTGCACTCAGCTCACCTTCGTGCCAGGCCCCGGGGCTGAGGAGGTAGAGATGCCAGCCCCTGCCCTCCAGGAGCTCATAGTTGGTGTCAGCTATTGCAGTGCAGTGTGAGGAGTGCTGTAGAAGTAGAAGGCAGGGATGAGCGTGGGGCAGACCTGCTGTGGGGAGGACCTGCCGTGGGGAGGATCTGCCGTGGGGAGGACCTGCCGCGGGATGGACCTGCCGTGGGATGGACCTGCCGTAGGATGGACCTGCCGCGGGGAGGACCTGCCGTGGGGAGGACCTGCCGTGGGATGGACCTGCCGCGGGATGGACCTGCCGTGGGATGGACCTGCCGTGGGGAGGACCTGCCGCGGGGAGGATCTGCCGTGGGATGGGCCTGCCATGGGGAGGACCTGCCATGGGGAGGATCTGCTGTGGGACAGGCCTGCCATGGGATGGGCCTGCCGTGGGGAGGACCTGCCATGGGTGAGCTGCGGCACCTGGGGAGGTGGGGGAGGCCCCCGGGCTGCAGAGTGGAGCAGATGTGGCAGCCGGGCCTGGAGGGTGGGTGACCAGGTGCCAGGAGAGGGCACTTCAGGAGCAGGCACAGCTCGGCAGAGGCAGTGTGCCCAGGAAGTGTGGGGGCATCGGGCGCAGCTGGGAGTCTGGTTAAGCTGGGGCATGAGAAGGAGAGGAAGAGAGGAAAAGGGAAGAAGAGGAGGTCAGAGGGGGGAGGAAAAGAGGCCCTGAGGGGTAAGAAGCAGGTGGGGAGGGAGGGAAGGAGAGAGACGTGAGGATCGGGAGGACTCTGTGTGCCAGGCGCAGGGGCTGGGCTTGTGTCCTGTAGGCAGCAGAGCCATCCAAGGGACTAAGCAGGGAAACGACAGTCTCATGGGCCCGTGGGGAGGTTAAGTCCAGATGCAGAGGATTCGTGGATACTAATTATCCAATTCGCCATAATGAAGGCCTGAATTAAGGCAGGAGCAGCCAAGATGGAGACTCTGAAGACAGGAGTTAGCCACGATAAAGCTGCCAGCGGTGGAGAGCTCACTCTAGGGGTACCAAGCACCCAGCTGATTAGCAAAACCACCTGGGAGGTCACGGTCTCCTCGTTGCAGGTGAAGAAACGGAGGCGAGGTGGAGGTTAGTCCCTTGCCAGGTCACACGGCGGGCCAGTGCTGGGTCTGATGGCCTTACCGGCTGGGTCTGATGGCCTTACCGGCCAGGCTGCGCACGTGCGTGGGGCCTGCGTGGAGGGCTGGTCTGGGGTGGGAGCAGATGTGGGGAAGGGGCTCGTGGGGCATGTTGGCGGTGGAGCTGGGGTTCCAGGGGGGCTGGGTATGTGTTCCAGGTAGTCCAGGCTGGATCCCAGGCTGTGGGTCAGAAAGGGGCTGGGGAAGTCGGGCGCAGTGGCTCACACCTGTAATCCTAGCACTTTGGGAGGCCAAGGTGAGAAGATTGCTTGAGACCAGGAGTCTGAGACCAGCCTGGGTAATGTAGTGAGACCTCATCTCTACTGAAAAAAAAAAAAAAAATAGCTGGGCATGGTGGTGCCCAGTTACGTTTCCAACTACTTGGGAGGCTGAGGCTGAGGATTGCTTGAGCCTGGAAGGCTTGAGCCCCAGAGGCGGAGGCTGCAGTGAGTCAAGATTGTGCCACTGAACTCCAGCCTGGGTGACCTGTTTCAAAAAAAAGAAAGGAGGGAGGGAGGGAGGGAAGGAAGAAAGGGGCTGGGGAGGGAGGCTGGCAGCTCAGAGGCGGATGTCATGGGGCGATGTGAGTGATGTGAGGGATGACTGAGTGATGTGAGTAACCTGGGAGAGAATGTGGGCCCAGGTTGAGGAGAGGAGCCCACCGGGTGTGGGCGTGGTGGGAGAGTGGCCGGGAAGCTGTCTTCTTCCCTCGAACCTGCCTGAATGTCTGTGTGGAGACATTCCTGTGACCTAGTATCTCCACTCGGTGTCCTGCTCTTGAGATGTTGGGGCTGGGACCACCGCTGGGCACCTGCCGTGTGTGTGGTCAGGTCACCCGATGTGGGAGGAATCCAGTGGAGAAGGAACCGACCTGTAACCTTGTGAAGCTGCCTGGTGGGACGTCAGGGGCTAGGAGGTTGGTGTGAGCTGGGCCTCCAGGGTGGAGTAGCCCTTCCCTACCCAGCCCCCGCAGCTGCCAGGCAGGCACCACCCCACCCTCCCGGATTGTCCCTGTGGGGCCTCCGCAGTGTGGCAGGTGCAGGCTGAGGGCTGTTACGCTCCATCTCGACGTTGCCTCAGCTTGGCTTTGACCCTGAGTCCCAACTCGGCCGGTGCCTGGACACGAGGTTGTACCTCTGGCTGTTTCCAGAACGGATGACTCCTGCCACCTCCTGGGCTGTGCGCCTGGTGGTGCAGACGCCCCGGAGCCCACCCTAAGCACCCTGATGACCCTGTCCCCCTCTCGCCCTGTCCCCCTCCCGCCCTGTCCCCTCTCGCCCTGTCCCCTCTCTCGCCCTGTCCCCCTCTCGCCCTGTCCCCTCCCGCCCTGTTCCCCTCCCGCCCTGTCCCCTCCCGCCCTGTCCCCCTCCCGCCCTGTCCCCCTCTCGCCCTGTCCCCTCTCTCGCCCTGTCCCCCTCTCGCCCTGTCCCCCTCTCGCCCTGTCCCCTCTCGCCCTGTCCCCTCTCGCCCTGTCCCCCTCCCGCCCTGTCCCCCTCCCGCCCTGTCCCCCTCTCGCCCTGTCCCCTCTCTCGCCCTGTCCCCTCTCCCGCCCTGTCCCCCTCCCGCCCTGTCCCCTCTCTCGCCCTGTCCCCCTCCCGCCCTGTCCCCCTCTCGCCCTGTCCCCCCTCTCGCCCTGTCCCCTCTCTCGCCCTGTCCCCCTCTCGCCCTGTCCCCCTCCCGCCCTGTCCCCTCTCGCCCTGTCCCCCTCCCGCCCTGTCCCCTCTCTCGCCCTGTCCCCTCTCTCGCCCTGTCCCCCTCTCGCCCTGTCCCCCTCCCGCCCTGTCCCCCCTCTCGCCCTGTCCCCTCTCTCGCCCTGTCCCCCTCTCGCCCTGTCCCCCTCCCGCCCTGTCCCCTCTCGCCCTGTCCCCCTCCCGCCCTGTCCCCTCTCTCGCCCTGTCCCCTCTCTCGCCCTGTCCCCCTCTCGCCCTGTCCCCCTCCCGCCCTGTCCCCTCTCTCGCCCTGTCCCCCCTCTCGCCCTGTCCCCTCTCTCGCCCTGTCCCCCTCCCGCCCTGTCCCCCTCCCGCCCTGTCCCCCTCCCGCCCTGTCCCCCTCTCGCCCTGTCCCCTCTCTCGCCCTGTCCCCTCTCTCGCCCTGTCCCCCTCCCGCCCTGTCCCCCTCCCGCCCTGTCCCCCTCCCGCCCTGTCCCCCTCTCGCCCTGTCCCCCTCCCGCCCTGTCCCCCTCTCGCCCTGTCCCCCTCCCGCCCTGTGCCTCTCTTGCACTCTGGCCCTAGGAGCTCGTGGCGCTGGACCGGGGGCTGGCCCCTATTTCTGTACCACTTGGTACAGAAACAGGTTTTAAACCATTTAAAAATGGTTTAAAAATGGTTTTATGTTTGTAAATGGCTCCGTGGGGCAGGGCGGGAGGGAACAAAAGAAGAAGAGTGTCACGTGGCATGAAAATTCAGTGAATGTGAATCTCGGCGTCCCTCAAGGTTTGCAGGAGTCCAGCCAGGCTCATTGGTTCTCCTGTGGCCTCCGGCCGGTTCGGGCCTGCCCTGGCCGGGTGGAATCGTCGTGACAGCCTAAAATCCCAGGCACCAGCTGCTCAGAGTGAGAAGGGGCCTGACTTCCTTCCCCTCTGGTTATGTTGTTGGTGGGGGTGGCCTGGGGTACCAGCCTCAGTGCCTCAGTTGTTTGAGCCTCAGCAGATTACAGACTTTAATGAGTTAGCTTCTCTTGGTCTTACTAGTTTCCTCTCGACGGAATTTTAAAAAGTAACTTACAGGACTGTGCAGAGGTTTAGAACGCTGGATTCTGCCTCCCTGCGTCCTCCCGGCCTGGGCTCATTCCCTCACCTCTGTCTGCTTCAGGTCTCTCACCTGGAAGTCGGGAATAATAATACCTATCTCGGGGGCGGTTGCAAGGATTGCAATGAGGAAAGTATGTGATAAACTCTTAAAACGGTGCCTGAGACACGGTCACTGCTCAATAATTATTAAAACCTCAGTACAGCCTCCCTCCCCATCTCTTTCCTGAGACACGGTCACTGCTCAATAATTATTAAAACCTCAGTACAGCCTCCCTCCCTCCCCACCTCTTTCCTGAGACACGGTCACTGCTCAATAATTATTAAAACCTCAGTACAGCCTCCCTCCCTCCCCATCTCTTTCCTGAGACACGGTCACTGCTCAATAATTATTAAAACCTCAGTACAGCCTCCCTCCCTCCCCATCTCTTTCCTGAGACACGGTCACTGCTCAATAATTATTAAAACCTCAGTACAGCCTCCCTCCCTCCCCATCTCTTTCCTGAGACACGGTCACTGCTCAATAATTATTAAAACCTCAGTACAGCCTCCCTCCCTCCCCATCTCTTTCCTGAGACACGGTCACTGCCCAATAATTATTAAAACCTCAGTACAGCCTCCCTCCCTCCCCATCTCTTTCCTGAGACACGGTCACTGCCCAATAATTATTAAAACCTCAGTACAGCCTCCCTCCCTCCCCATCTCTTTCCTGAGACACGGTCACTGCTCAATAAATATTAAAACTCAGTACAGCCTCCCTCCCTCCCCATCTCTTTCCTGAGACACGGTCACTGCTCAATAATTATTAAAACCTCAGTACAGCCTCCCTCCCTCCCCACCTCTTTCCTGAGACACGGTCACTGCCCAATAATTATTAAAACCTCAGTACAGCCTCCCTCCCTCCCCATCTCTTTCCTGAGACACGGTCACTGCTCAATAATTATTAAAACCTCAGTACAGCCTCCCTCCCTCCCCATCTCTTTCCTGAGACACGGTCACTGCTCAATAATTATTAAAACCTCAGTACAGCCTCCCTCCCTCCCCATCTCTTTCCTGAGACACGGTCACTGCTCAATAATTATTAAAACCTCAGTACAGCCTCCCTCCCTCCCCATCTCTTTCCTGAGACACGGTCACTGCTCAATAATTATTAAAACCTCAGTACAGCCTTCCTCCCTCCCCATCTCTTTCCTGAGACACGGTCACTGCTCAATAATTATTAAAACCTCAGTACAGCCTTCCTCCCTGCCCCCCAACCTCTTTCTTATAACTGCTGGGTGATCTAACTCATTGCAAAGTTGTTAAATCTTTTTTTTTTTCGTGATTGTTTTTTTGAGACAGGGTCTCGCTGTGCTGCCCCGGCTGGAGTGCAGCGGTGTGATCTTAGCTCACGGCAGCCTCACCCCTCTGGGCTCCAGTGATCCTCCCACCTCAGCCTCCCGGGCAGCTGGGACTACAGGTGTGCGCCACCACTCCTGGCTAATTTCTCATTTTTTGTGGAGACTGGGCCTTGTTATGTTGCCCAGGCTGCCTCAGACTCCTCAGGCGATCCTCCTGCTCAGCCTCTGAAACTGCTGGGATGCAGGCATGAGCCGCCAACCTTAACGATACAGTTACGTTGTTAGTTCTTAACTTTGTAAACCTCAGACTTTATCTCCACCTCGAACCTTATAGAGAACTGCCAAGTTTATTGTCTGACTTGGATGCCTCATAGACATGACATATCAAGGATATTCCAACCCTAAAAAATAAGTCAAACACCAGAGGTGTGTGTGAAATGCGAAGCTCCCGCCCCTGACCTTCGGGGTCTGGGTGTTTGTCCTTCTCCCACCTTCTCTGTCTCTTCGCACTCACACAAATGTTCGCAGGGTGGATGCCTATGTACACTCCTTTTTTCATCTTCTTTTTCCACTTAATAAGATATCAAAAACATCGTCCCATGACTATACATGTAAATCGAATTCCAGTTTTAGGAGCTGTGTTGTATTCGGGGCTTTTTCACCCTTCCCTGTAGCTCCCCTTTTCCAGGCGGCTCACACACCTGCTGGGCAGGCCTGGGGTGAGTGTGGGTGGCAGCCGGGAGGGCCGGGCCTGGATCCACCCTCCCTCGACGGCGGGCGCCTCCCATCCTGTTTCCCGTTGAGCTTAGCCTCGTCCTGGGGTCCGAATCTCTCCTGGGGACACGGCCCTCTCTGCAGTGTGGCTCCGATGGCTTCCTCTCTCCTCCCCGCACCGCACACAGACACACCTGCCCACGTCTGAAATCCAGCTGAAGGCGTGGCTCAAGTTCATTCCCTGCAACGGCTCCTTGGACCTTGTGTAAATCGAAGGACGGACGTAGTGGGTGGGGCGGGGTGACTCCGTGGACCTGCCTGGCCTGCTACACCTGCGAGAGTCGGGAGACAGCTGTGCTCAGAACCTCCTGCGTGACCTCAGATGAAAATCTGTTTCCCTCTCTGGCCTTCCAGTGACAGGCAAAGGCTGGACGAGAGACTCTCTCGGGCCTGCCTGCGGTTTCCTCCCAGGCAGCTCGGGCTCAGTCCAGGCCTTGCAGCCTCGCAGTCCGCAGATGCCGCAGTGGCAGCAGCTGGGCTGGGAGCCGAAGCTCTCGCCTCTGTGCCTCTGGGACACAGCTCGATTGTGGTTATTTTAAAGCTGTGGCAGGTTTGCCGCCCAGTTCGCTTTGGCTCAGGCCGTAGTGAGTCTGTGCCCTCTGAGCGGGAGGAAGTCAGGGTGGGGGTGCTTCTGAGAGCCGCTGTGCCTGACATTTCCATGATGTCATGTGTCCCTCATGGCCCCCAGGAGATGGGCAGGCAAAAGGCAAGGCAGTGTTCATACTCGTTTTCCAGATGGAGACACAGACGCTCAGAGGGATGACTCCCTCTCGATGACACAGCCAGTGCCTTGCAATGACTCCTACGGCTCGGGTCAGAACTTTGCCTACAGGCCAGGCGTGGTCACAGCTCGGCTCAGGACTTTGCCTACAGGCCGGGCGCGGTGGGTCACACCTGTAATTCCAGGACTTTGGGAGGCCGAGGTAGGAGGATCACTGGAAGCCAGGAGTTTGAGACCAGCCCAGGCAATAAAGCGAGACCCTGTTTTAATAAAAAATGAAAAAAATTAGGTGGGCCTGGTGGTGCCCCTGCAGTCCCAGCTACTTGGGAGGCCAAGGCAGGAGGATCCCTTGAGCCCAGGAGTTTGAGACCAGCCCGGGCAACAAGGCAAAACCCCCTCTCTACAAAAAAATACAAAAATTAGCCAGGCACGGTGGTGCGCACCCATAATCTCAACTACTGGGGAGGCTGAGGTGGGAGGATTGCTTAAGCCTGGGAGGTTAAAGCTACAGTGAGCCGTGCTCCCGCCACTGCACTCTAGCCTAGGTGACAGCGTGAGACCCTGTCTCAAGAAAAAAAAGCCCAGAGAACTTTGCCTATGTACCTTTTAAGATGTAAAGAGATCTAAAGATGAGCAGGAGACCCCAAAGGAAGGTGATGTCTCGTCCCACTTTCGAATAAGGTGGCCGATGAAATGAGGTGGCCGACGGCTACGTGCCCACGATGCTGGGGAAGGGATTGCAGCCCCTATGGCGGAGCATCCAGAGTGAGAGGTAGCACCCAGCCCTGGGCCCCCCTGAGGCAGCGCCCCTACAGAGTGGGCCTGAGGCCTTGCCCTGGTCTGTCCCACCTTTGCATTGGCTAGACAATAGTTGGATACGTGGAGGAGTCACGGCCCAGCCTCACTGTGAGGCCAGCCCCTGCTAGAGTGGGTGAGAGATTCTGCAGGCCTAGGCTGTGGCAGCCCCTGCTAGAGTGGGTGAGAGCTTCTGCAGGTCTAGGCTGGGCCAGCCCCTGCTAGAGCGGGTGAGAGATTCTGCAGGCCTAGGCTGGGCCAGCCCCTGCTAGAGCGGGTAAGAGATTCTGCGGGCCTAGGCTGGGCCAGCCCCTGCTAGAGCGGGTGAGAGATTCTGCAGGCCTATGGGCCAGCCCCTGCTAGAGTGGGTGAGAGATTCTGCAGGTCTAGGCTGGGCCAGCCCCTGCTAGAGCGGGTGAGAGATTCTGCAGGTCTAGGCTGGGCCAGCCCCTTCTAGAGTGGGTGAGAGATTCTGCAGGTCTAGGCTGGGCCAGCCCCTGCTAGAGCGGGTGAGAGATTCTGCAGGCCTATGGGCCAGCCCCTGCTAGACCGGGTGAGAGATTCTGCAGGTCTAGGCTGGGCCAGCCCCTGCTAGAGCGGGTAAGAGATTCTGCAGGCCTAGGCTGGGCCAGCCCCTTCTAGAGTGGGTGAGAGATTCTGCAGGCCTAGGCTGGGCCAGCCCCTGCTAGAGCGGGTGAGAGATTCTGCGGGCCTAGGCTGGGGTACCTGGGACACTGGTCAGGGCTGTCCTGCAGGGACTCCTTCTCCCCCGGGACACCTGCCCCCTAGGCTCAGTGGCCGTCTTCCCTGGGTCTGGTCAGTGTAGCCTCTGGCAGCAGGAAGAAGCATCGTTGGCAAATCCACTCAGCGGCCGTTGCCAAGTGCGGTAATTTTGTGCAGCCTCTCGTCCTCTGTTGTGGTAAATAACAGATAATGACATTTGCAGTCTGGCGCGGCCCCGTGCCGCACACCTCGTCGGCCGTGCCCTGCAAGCTGGCACACTTCGGGAGGCCTGCGATTCTTCACCGGCCTCCAGTCGCCCCTGTGCTTCCCGCTGGGACATTTCCCTGCAGCTGTTTGCTGTTCACGGACCTTAACTGGGGATGGACTTGGCCTGTCTTGTTCCCTGTGGGAGGACACGGGGGGCAGCTCTTCTGCTGATGGGGAAGCTGAGTGGAAAAGAGGGAGCGGGTTCATTTCCCCCAGGGTCCTTTTAGCCTGGGCCTCAACACTGAGAATCAGGCCCTCACCGGAGGCCCCTTTAGCCCTCTCCTTCCAGACTCTCCTCTTACCCTTGTCCTGCCTTCCGTGGGAGGGAGGGAGGGAGGGGTCTGCCCCAGGTTACAGATGGATAAACTGAGGCAGAGAAGGGTGAGACCTTCTGCCCAGGAACCACATACAGGCTCAGACAGCAGCGGCATTCGGGCCCTGCAGGGAGTGAGGCCTGAGTACCTGGGTTGCCAACCCAGGGGAGGGGCTGCTGGGCCATTGCAGGGCCCCCACTGGGTTCCAGACTGTGGACGAGTCTCATTCGCTTTCCAGTGCATCCTCTACTCCTCTGCTTGTTCAAGTGCAGCTCCGATTAGGTCACTGTCCCCCTCCCTCCCCCCGAAGCCTTCAGTGGCTCCCTACTGCCAGCAGCATAAAGTCGAAAACACCCCCACGTGGTATCCGAGGCCCTCAGTTCATTCCCCGGCTGCAGCCTGCTGACTTGAGCAGCGTGAGTGAAATCCCCAGCTGGGATTTCTAAGGCCCAGGGCCAGGCCTGGCTCCCCCGGCCCCGACCTGCCGTCCCCCTCCTTGGAGCTCCGTTCTGTGCATAACCAGGGTCCCTAAGGGATCGCTAGTGTGCTGTTGCTGTTAGAATATTAAGAAATTCTACAATGTTTGTCTAGTCTGCTGTATTTTTCAGATAAAAGATAAGTTCCAATAACATGTATTTGCTGGCTGGGAATTTTTTTGTTTTTTTTTGAGATAACGTCTCCCTTTGTCACCCAGGCTGGAGCGCAGTGGCCTGATCTCGGCTCACTGCAACCTCCGCCTCCCGGGTTCAAGTGATTCTCCTGCCTCAGCCTCCCGAGTAGCTAGGGCTACAGGAGTGTGCCTCCATGCCTGGCTAATTTTTTTTTTTTTGTATTTTTAGTAGAGATGGGGTTTCGCTGTATTGACCAGGCTGGTCTCAAACTCCTGACCTCAAGTGATCTGCCCACTTCAGCCTCCCAAAATGCCAGGATTACAGGCGTGAGCCACCGTGCCCAGCCTGGCTTGGAGACTGTTGACTGTATCCCAGGCATGGGAACGAACACAGGGAAGGGAGAGGGTATTTTTACGGACTGACCTTTTAAGAGTTATGATAATCCTGGAACATCAGAGAGGCCGGTGCTCTACCCCTGAGATTGGGGTCGGGGGAGGGCTACTGAGGGGCCCCAGCACCCCACACTGAGCTGGTGGGGGCAGAGCTGGAGGACGTGGACGGTCTCCTGACTTTGGCTGGGTGGTCTGTGCTGACTCAGTTTCTGGTGGACCCTGGCACTGGGTCATGGAGGAGGAAATGTCAGGGTTCCTGAAGGATGTGTAGAAGTTTGCCAGGTGTGAGCCACAGGGCACGGAGGCAGAGAGGTGGCTAGAGGGTTGGGAGAGGACAGCAAAGTGTGGGGCTGGCGTGGTGGGCTTGGCAAGGCCGGTGGGGACAGGACTAGAGAGAGGTGGGGGCCAGGGAGGGAAGTTTGCATGTTCGTCCGTGTGTCATTTTCTTGCCTCTCTCCCCATCAGCTCGTGAAGCCTCCCTGTCCGCTGGCTAGTCCAGGGCCCGGGAGTAACGGGGACTTACAAGTGTTTGCGGAATGCCCTTGGCAACATCAGCCCTGACCTGTGACCAACCTTGCTCTTCACCAGATTCTAGGGAAGGGGATGGTGGAGAGAGGACCGAGGCTGCTGCCTCACCCTCCTGGGAGGTTTTAAGCCTTCCGGAAGCACAGGACTTCAGTGTCTTGGGCATCAGGCTCTGAAAATAGAGGAAAACACCAAGCAAAGTGGTTTTTCCTATTCTCTTACAGTTACTCAACACAGCACACTCCTGGGACCTCTGGTCACCAAGATGTGTGTGGATTTCTCCCACCCACGCCCGATCCGCAGCACATTCTCCAGTGGGCTGTGCTCAGTTCAGACGCTGTCTACCCGGAGGTAGCATCAGATCCCGCAGGACGAGGGCTCGGTCCCAGGACTGTCCCCCGCCTCAGATGCCAGTCACACGTCCAGACCTCTGGAACTTCTGAGCAGCTGGCTGTGAATCGGGGTTCCCACAACCCATACTTTGGGTTCGATAATTTGCTAGAGTGGCTCACAGAACTCGCAGAGAAACACTTTGCTTATGTTGACTGGTTTATGACGAAGGATATTACAAAGTGCACAGATGAACAAGGCAGCCGCCAGATGGGAGAGGTGCCCTGGGTGGGGCATGTGGGGATAGGCGAGGGGCTGTTGGATCCCCTCTGGGGCCTCCCCTCAAGAACCTCCACGTGTTCAGCTATATCTGGAATCACCCCAAGCCCCGACGTCTTGGGTTTTTGTGGAGTCTTCATCACGTTGGCTTGGAGAGGGTTGTGTTCCAGAGCTCCTGATGGAACTCTCCGCAGAGGGGTGGCTATGGATGCATGTTGATTTCCAGTCCTCACTCACCCCCTGGGGAAAATCGGTGTTACGGTTTGTCCTCACACAATGCCCCACGAGACCCAGCCTTGTCCCCTTGGATGCTTGAAGGGGATGATTCTGGAGACCCCCAAGAGGCCTCCTGAGCGGAGCTGGTGGGTTCCTTTTCCTTCTCCGGCAGGACGTTAGAGCAGCATTGATCCACGTTTCAAAACCCAGGCTCCCTTTTGATACACGTAGAACCCTTCCACACCCTTTTTTTCATATGTGACTTGAAGTTTCAAAACAATATTGTGTGTTTGAAAAAAGCGGGCGTGACGTTGAACAGCCCGTCTTTGGGCCCTGCGGGTTCTGACTGCCCCCACAGCCCCTCAGAGGTGAAGGTGCAACCGGTGGTGGCCATGGCGAGCCATCGGCGGAAACGAGCTCGTGAGGGACTCGCCTGGCCTCTGGGCTTGACATCCTGAATCTCATTACCAAGGTGGAGCTGGTCCAGGAGCTGCTCCTGGCTGTGTCCTCCAGCCCCGTGAGGACAGTTCCTCTGTCCCTCCCACACCGATGTGCATTCCCTCTGCCCGTTCATGTCTGCAGCTCCTCTGTCCCTCCCACACTGATGTGCATTCCCTCTGTCCATCCATTTCTGCAGCTCCTCTGTCCCTCCCACACTGATGTGCATTCCCTCTGTCCATCCATTTCTGCAGCTCCTCTGTCCCTCCCACACTGATGTGCATTCCCTCTGTCCATCCATTTCTGCAGCTCCTCTGTCCCTCCCACACTGATGTGTATTCCCTCTGCCCGTCCATTTCTGCAGCTCCTCTGTCCCTCCCACACTGAAGTGCATTCCCTCTGCCCGTCCATTTCTGCAGCTCCTCTGTCCCTCCCACACTGATGTGCATTCCCTCTGCTTTCCATTTCTGCAGCATCTGTGTCCCTCCCACACTGATGTGCATTCCCTCTGTCCATCCATTTCTGCAGCATCTCTGTCCCTCCCACACTGATGTGCATTCCCTCTGCTGTCCATTTCTGCAGCTCCTCTGTCCCTCCCACACTGATGTGCATTCCCTCTGCCCGTCCATTTCTGCAGCTCCTCTGTCCCTCCCACACTGATGTGCATTCCCTCTGCTTTCCATTTCTGCAGCATCTGTGTCCCTCCCACACTGATGTGCATTCCCTCTGTCCATCCATTTCTGCAGCATCTCTGTCCCTCCCACACTGATGTGCATTCCCTCTGCCCGTCCATTTCTGCAGCTCCTCTGTCCCTCCCACACTGATGTGCATTCCCTCTGCTTTCCATTTCTGCAGCATCTGTGTCCCTCCCACACTGATGTGCATTCCCTCTGTCCATCCATTTCTGCAGCATCTGTGTCCCTCCCACACTGATGTGCATTCCCTCTGCTGTCCATTTCTGCAGCTCCTCTGTCCCTCCCACACTGATGTGCATTCCCTCTGCCCATCCATTTCTGCAGCTCCTCTGTCCCTCCCACACTGATGTGCATTCCCTCTGCTTTCCATTTCTGCAGCATCTGTGTCCCTCCCACACTGATGTGCATTCCCTCTGTCCATCCATTTCTGCAGCTCCTCTGTCCCTCCCACACTGATGTGCATTCCCTCTGTCCATCCATTTCTGCAGCTCCTCTGTCCCTCCCACACTGATGTGCATTCCCTCTGCCCGTCCATTTCTGCAGCTCCTCTGTCCCTCCCACACTGATGTGCATTCCCTCTGCCCGTCCATTTCTGCAGCATCTCTGTCCCTCCCACACTGATGTGCATTCCCTCTGCTGTCCATTTCTGCAGCATCTGTGTCCCTCCCACACTGATGTGCATTCCCTCTGTCCATCCATTTCTGCAGCTCCTCTGTCCCTCCCACACTGATGTGCATTCCCTCTGTCCCTCCCACACTGATGTGCATTCCCTCTGCCCGTCCATTTCTGCAGCTCCTCTGTCCTTCCCACACTGATGTGCATTCCCTCTGCCCGTCCATTTCTGCAGCATCTCTGTCCCTCCCACACTGATGTGCATTCCCTCTGCTTTCCATTTCTACAGCATCTGTGTCCCTCCCACACTGATGTGCATTCCCTCTGTCCATCCATTTCTGCAGCATCTCTGTCCCTCCCACACTGATGTGCATTCCCTCTGCTGTCCATTTCTGCAGCATCTCTGTCCCTCCCACACTGATGTGCATTCCCTCTGTCCATCCATTTCTGCAGCTCCTCTGTCCCTCCCACACTGATGTGCATTCCCTCTGTCCCTCCCACACTGATGTGCATTCCCTCTGCCCGTCCATTTCTGCAGCTCTTCTGTCCTTCCCACACTGATGTGCATTCCCTCTGCCCGTCCATTTCTGCAGCATCTCTGTCCCTCCCACACTGTGTGCATTCCCTCTGCTGTCCATTTCTGCAGCATCTGTGTCCCTCCCACACTGATGTGCATTCCCTCTGTCCATCCATTTCTGCAGCTCCTCTGTCCCTCCCACACTGATGTGCATTCCCTCTGCCGTCCATTTCTGCACAGGTGTTCTTCAGTCCTGGTCAGACTTAATGCTGTGTCCACTCAGGTTGGCCTTTTTAAAATTCGAGTCTGGGTCTCACTCTGTCACCCAGGCTGCAGTGCTGTGGTGCAATCACAACTCACTGCAGCCTCGACCTTCTGAGCTCAAACGATTCTTCCAAGTAGCTGTGACTGCAGGTGTGCACCAGCATGCTCGGCTAATTTTTGTATTTTTTTTTTTGTAGAGACGGGGTCTTGCTATGTTGCCCAGGCTGGTCTTGATCACCTGGGCTCAAGTGGTCCATCCCATGCTGGCGTTTGTACGTCTCTTCATCCCATCAGCACTCCTCACACCTCACACCTCACACTGGGCTCGTACCTGGCACCACTGTGTCCTCCACAGATGCTGAATGAACTCAGGAACCCCTGGAGACCAAGCCCCACGTCCTGTGCTTTCCCCTTTGATTGAACATTATTAGATTTGCTGGGTTTTATTTTTATTTTATTTTTTTGAGACCGAGTCTTGCTCTGTCACCCAGGCTGTAATGCAGTGGTGCAATCTCAGCTCACTGCAACTTCCGACTTCTGGTTTCAAGCAGTTCTCCTACCTCAGCCACCAAGTAGCTGGGATTCCGGGTGAGTACCACCGCGCCCGGCTAATTTTTGTATTTTTAGTAGAGACGGGGTTTCGCCTTGTTGGCCAGGTTGGTGTTGAACTCCTGACCTCAGGCGATCCGCCCACCTCAGCCTCCCAAATTGCTGGGATTACAGGCGTGAGCCACCGCGCCCGACCAGATTTGCTGGTTTTTAAAAACCCTCCTCCCACCTTCTGATTTAGCCATCCCATCCACCCCTTGGCCGAAGCTCCTGTTGAGTGCACCGTGCTCCCATCACCGGTGCTGCACGGCCCTCAGCCCAGTTCTCGATGGCTCAAACCTCCTGTTTCCCGTGTCCTGCCGGAAAAGATGCAGAAACCTCTCTGGGACTGAGGGGATGCAGAGGTTAACCAGGACCGGGAAGGGGTTAACTGAGGCCCCTGGACCCCGCTGCCCCACCCCCGGAGCCCCGGCCCCCAGCCATCCTGGCGGCTTCATCTCGTCTGAATACCCCGATTTCCCTGAGACTGACACTCGCAGAGGCACGAGTGCAGAAATGATCCGAAGCCCCGTCCAAGTCATGATTTCTTATTATGTGCTCTGTGAATGTTAATAGTCAACAGCTGATGCTGTTGCCTTTTTTAACCCTCCTCTCCACTCGGGACGCAGTGGTAACTGCATGAGTGGCAGGCGGAGGGAGGAGGTGTTTGGTGTTTTGGAAGCCGAGCTTGAAAGCCACAGGAAATGATGGTGCTTGCTTTCAACTGGGAGAGGTGGCTGGGGGCTGGCACAGGCCTGAGGCTCGCAGGTGGTCCCCAGGCCATGTCAGAGGCTCTTCCGATGGAGGGGAAGGGCCTGCCGGAAGCCTTGGTAAAGAGAGGCGGCTCGGCCCTGAGTGGCTGGTTCCCCTGGGAGCCGCCAGCAGCCAGGATGGAGGACGTGGGGTGGGAAGTCCAGGGAGACTTGCCTTCCTCCTGAAATGTTTCTCCACTTGCCTCTGGCTTCTGTCTCAGACCCGGCAGCAGGTGGCTGGCATTAAGGCTGTGCCTCCTTGGGGCCTTCTGTGACTTGGTATTTGTGGGTAGTCGGGGTAAGGTCCAGGGCTCGGCGTGCTCCCAGCGCTGCTGGCCCCCGGGCTGTGTCCTAACGAATGGGAAGAGGGGCCTGGCTGTGCCCCTCCCACTTGAAGCTTGACCTCATCTGTCGTTCTGGAAGAGGAGAGGGCCCAGGGATCCAGCCTTGCCTTACCTCGGGGTGGGGAGGGTGAAGTTGGGTCCAGGCGGGAGGATGAGGGCCTGCAAGAGTGTGCTAGCCAGGCAGCCAGGCCCGGCTGGGGCAGCAGGAGCCCGGGACCGAGGCTCAGACTGAACAGGGTTCGCATCCCAGGTCCCCACGTCGAGCTGCTTAACCTCAAGTCTCAGATCCCTTGTGTAAAACAGGAACAGTCATACCCACCCCATAGGGCTGTTTTGAAAATTAAATGAGATTCTGCATAAAACAGCTAGCTTGGTGCCTAGTGTAAGCATAAGTACCCGAGAAAGTATATAAATATTTGTAATTATATACATCAATATCTGAACTGTCTATACGTTTAAAGTCATTTGGCAGCAGGGCCTGGGTTCCAGACAGCGTCTATAGCAACAGAGCTGTATCCAGCCTTTCCGCTGCTGGCCCACTGGGGCAGGTGATGCTTCTCCAAGCCTGGCGGATGGCACTTCAGGGGCTGAGCAGGGCTGAGCTTATGATCGGAGGGGCCGGTGACCCGGGGACACCATCTGGGACCCGCTGTGGGGGTGCACAGGCCTGATTACAATTGAGCCACAGTCAGCCACTGTGGCTGTCTCCTGCCTGTCTGCGTGGACACTTTCAGCTGCTTTAATCCATCCTGACCTGCAAAAATCCAGACCTGGTCAAAAAATGAAGTTGGGGCAAGTGACTTTCCAAAGCATTTAGCATAAGCTTCCTTTAAATAGGAATTCTGCTTATCCATTTAAAATAGATTTTGACTTTGCACAGTTTGATTTCCATTTGGGCTGATATCTTTCTAGATTGTCCTCTGTGTATATATAGACTCCTCCATAGATGTAGGCACATCTACATATTTACGTGGTGGAGCGCCCTGCTATGCAGACTGTTTCCAACGTGCTTTTTTTAACTTAACAGCTTATGGTGAATATTGCCCCACACAGCTTCGTTGTCATTTCGTCACTTTTCTATTTACATCATCATCGTCTTTGTTGCTGCAAAGCTCTCCCCTAAACCTAGTAAGATTTTCCCTTTTGAAGATTTGGTTTCTGGCATCAGGAGCACATTGTGTGGCATGAAACACACACGTGGAGGCTCTCATTATGCTGCTTTGTGCATGCACCGAGGCCATTCAGACGTAGCTATTTCTTATCCTATTTTATCGGGGCAGGGGGATGACCCCTCTGTAAGCACCGTCTGCAGCGCGGTTCCCAATGAGAAACCAGCTCACCTGCCGATTTCAACTCACTGGAACTCTCAGGAAAGTAATTTTCCAGATAAAAGATTGCTATTTTATTTTATTATTTTTTAAAATGAGATGGGGGGTGGGGGAGTCTCATTGTGTTGCCCAGGCTGGTCTTGAACTTCTGGCCTCAAGAAATCCCCCCACCTCGGCCTCCCAAAGCACTGGGATTGCAGGCAGGATCCACCGCACCTGGCCCTGAGTTTTGCTAATGGATAAACTACTCCGTTCAATGGGACACTCTTTGAGGACAAAGGGCCGTGTCTTGTTTGTTTTCGGCATTCTTAGAATAATGCCTTCCCTACAGTATAGAAAACATGTTTGTGAATTGAAGCTCCACACGTTTAAACCAGCCATCTTCAGTGTTCATCTCCACAGCACAGCGTACGTTTTCCAGGCCTCCTTGTACGCAACGTTTGAGGGCAGTTTCACCCGTTTCGGTCGAGTGAGGCTCATGAACAGCCCTCTCTGTGCCATGGATGGTCCAGGCCTCCTTGTACAGGACGTTTGAGCGCAGTTTCACCCTTTTCGGTCGAGTGAGGCTCATGAACAGCCCTCTCTGTGCCATGGATGGTGACGCTGTGAAGCTGTCCCGGCCCGTCCAGGAGTGTGAGGCTGCCAGTGACTGACTCCAGACCGCGGGTGCTGTGAGATGGCGGCGTCTGCTTTCAGAGCAGTTTCCTTCCCTCCCCCTACATTGGCACTAAGCCCCTTCCCGTCTTCTGATCTGCGGGAGCGTGGTGGAATTCCTCATCATGAAATGGATCGGTGAGGACTCAAAGGCCAGCCTGGGCATGAAGTACCTGAACTTTGGAGTGGCCCAGCAGAACCTTCTGTCGCATTGTGACTCTTGGGTGCCATCTGGGAAGGAGAAGGGGTGGGACGGGGAGTCGCAGGAAGCAGAAATGTCACTGAAGTGGCCCTGGATAAGAAGGACATTGAGGAAGGTGCCTGATCAGGCCTTGGGACGGGTCTGCACACATAGGCGGCCGCGGCACGCACCCCGGGGGAGGCAGGCAGGAGCCGTCATGGGAATGGTCTGGTAAACATCCCCGCTTCCCACCCTCAGTGAAGGATTCCCGGAGTCATTTCCCCTGTGGCCGGGCCAGCCTGGGTTTATGCTCCATACCCTGAGACTGAGGCCCACCTGGCCACCACCCCACCTCCTCGGACACTTGCCCGCTGTGTGGCTCTCCCTGGTTTGGCCTCCCACAATCCTGCTGGTCAGCATCACTCAATGTGGACGTGATTGGACCCTGCCTCGTGTCGCTGAGCGAGTGCCTTCACGCCTCCGTGCAGCTTGTCTTCCCGGCAGGTCGGCATGTTCCGGGAGGGAGCCTGTCTTGCTTTTTCAACTGTAATATCTTAAGTAGCTTCCATTTGTTCAATCCGTTCTTCTGCAAATAGTCACTGTGCCGGGCACAGGGAGCAGGAGGGTGAACAGAAATAGACGTGGCCTCTGCCCTTGGGAAGATGACGGCCCAGCAGGGGAAGTCACAGGAGCCCTGCAGCCACACAGCGGAGGGTAAAATCACAACCTTGACAGCGGAGAAGAGGCAGGAGCCCATTCTGGAGGCTCTCATTGTGGAAGGAGTGTTGCGGAAGTCTTCCTTGAAGATGTGGTGCTTTTGCTGAGGTCCGAGGGGTGTGTAGGTTAATGAAGAGACAGCGTGGCCACACAGAGGGGGCAACACGTGCAAAGGTCCTGTGGCAGAAGGACCAGGGGCTGACAAACGGCCCACACGGCTGGAGCTCAGAGGGTCGGGGCTGAGGAAGTAGAGCAGGAGGCAGGGCCGGCCCGAATGCCGTATGAAGTGAGGCGGTGGTCACCCCAGAGCAGCGGGAAGCCTCTGATGGCTTTTAAGTTGGGAGGGATGGGAGAGGTGACATGATTAGATTTGCCTCTTGAGAAAATCGGCCTGGCTGCCATGTCGGGAACCAGCTGGAGGACAGCGCGGTGGGGTAGAGAGATCTGCTGGGCGGCCTTGGTGTGGGCGTGGGCGGTGGCAGCAGAGATCAGGGACGGGGCTGAAGGGGAATTGAGAGGTTGGAGAGAGATTTGAGTTCTTGGAGATGGATTATCTGGGCAGGAAGGAGGGACGATGGGGGCCCAGGATGAGTGCTGGGTTGTGGCTTGTGTGACTGATGGATGCTGGCTGCCTTCACTGAGACAGGCATGGCTATAAAGGTCTGAGGTTGCCGCCTACCTAACCTTTTATGGTGCTGAGCACTTTCATGACCGTCTCCCTTGATCCCCTCATCTGCAACCTGGGGTGTGGGGGGGCCTGTTACCACCAACTTACAGATGAGGAAGTGAGGCTCAGAAGGCGAGTACCGAGTCCAAGTTCACCTCTAAACGGCACACCCTGCTCTCTCCTGCCCCAAAGCCTGTGTCCCGTGGGCAGGTCCCTGGGGAACCCCCTCCCCTGTGTTCTTGGGGGTAGAGAGAATATACATTTCTTTGCAAAAGAAGCACATGGAGGGACTGAGACAGGAGTGGGGAGAGAGGGTGCGAGGTCTGACGGCCGGGAGAGAGGGAGTGAGGTCTGACGGTGGAGAGAGAGGGAGTGAGGTCTGACGGTGGAGAGAGAGGGTGCGAGGTCTGACGGTGGAGAGAGGGTGCGAGGTCTGACGGTGGAGAGAGGGTGCGAGGTCTGACGGTGGAGAGAGGGTGCGAGGTCTGACGGTGGAGAGAGGGTGCGAGGTCTGACGGTGGAGAGAGAGGGTGCGAGGTCTGACGGTGGAGAGAGAGGGTGCGAGGTCTGACGGTGGAGAGAGAGGGTGCGAGGTCTGACGGTGGAGAGAGAGGGTGCGAGGTCTGACGGTGGAGAGAGAGGGTGCGAGGTCTGACGGTGGAGAGAGGGTGTGAGGTCTGACGGTGGAGAGAGAGGGTGCGAGGTCTGACGGTGGAGAGAGAGGGTGCGAGGTCTGACGGTGGAGAGAGAGGGTGCGAGGTCTGACGGTGGAGAGAGGGTGTGAGGTCTGACGGTGGAGAGAGGGTGCGAGGTCTGACGGTGGAGAGAGAGGGTGCGAGGTCTGACGGTGGAGAGAGGGTGTGAGGTCTGACGGTGGAGAGAGGGTGCGAGGTCTGACGGTGGAGAGAGGGAGTGAGGTCTGACGGTGGAGAGAGAGGGAGTGAGGTCTGACGGTGGAGAGAGGGTGTGAGGTCTGACGGTGGAGAGAGGGTGTGAGGTCTGACGGTGGAGAGAGGGTGTGAGGCCTGACGGTGGAGAGAGAGGGTGCGAGGTCTGACGGTGGAGAGAGGGTGCGAGGTCTGACGGTGGAGAGAGGGAGTGAGGTCTGACGGTGGAGAGAGGGAGTGAGGTCTGACGGTGGAGAGAGGGTGTGAGGTCTGACGGTGGAGAGAGAGGGTGCGAGGTCTGACGGTGGAGAGACGGAGTGAGGTCTGACGGTGGAGAGAGGGAGTGAGGTCTGACGGTGGAGAGAGGGTGTGAGGTCTGACGGTGGAGAGAGAGGGTGCGAGGTCTGACGGTGGAGAGAGGGTGGGAGGTCTGACGGTGGAGAGAGAGAGTGAGGTCTGACGGTGGAGAGAGAGTGTGAGCTCTGTCGGTGGAGAGAGAGTGTGAGGTCTGTCGGTGGAGAGAGGGAGTGAGGTCTGACGGTGGAGAGAGAGTGTGAGGTCTGACGGTGGAGAGAGAGCGTGCGAGGTCTGTCGGTGGAGAGAGAGTGCGAGGTCTGTCGGTGGAGAGAGAGGGTGCGAGGTCTGTCGGTGGAGAGAGAGGGTGCGAGGTCTGACGGTGGAGAGAGAGGGTGCGAGCTCTGACGGTGGAGAGAGAGGGTGCGAGGTCTGACGGTGGAGAGAGGGTGTGAGGTCTGACGGTGGAGAGAGGGTGTGAGGTCTGACGGTGGAGAGAGGGTGCGAGGTCTGACGGTGGAGAGAGGGTGCGAGGTCTGACGGTGGAGAGAGGGAGTGAGGTCTGACGGTGGAGAGAGAGGGAGTGAGGTCTGACGGTGGAGAGAGGGTGTGAGGTCTGACGGTGGAGAGAGGGTGTGAGGTCTGACGGTGGAGAGAGGGTGCGAGGTCTGACGGTGGAGAGAGGGAGTGAGGTCTGACGGTGGAGAGAGAGGGAGTGAGGTCTGACGGTGGAGAGAGGGTGTGAGGTCTGACGGTGGAGAGAGGGTGTGAGGTCTGACGGTGGAGAGAGGGTGTGAGGTCTGACGGTGGAGAGAGAGGGTGCGAGGTCTGTCGGTGGAGAGAGAGGGTGCGAGGTCTGACGGTGGAGAGAGAGGGTGCGAGGTCTGACGGTGGAGAGAGAGGGTGCGAGGTCTGACGGTGGAGAGAGGGTGTGAGGTCTGACGGTGGAGAGAGGGTGTGAGGTCTGACGGTGGAGAGAGGGTGCGAGGTCTGACGGTGGAGAGAGGGAGTGAGGTCTGACGGTGGAGAGAGAGGGAGTGAGGTCTGACGGTGGAGAGAGGGTGTGAGGTCTGACGGTGGAGAGAGGGTGTGAGGTCTGACGGTGGAGAGAGGGTGCGAGGTCTGACGGTGGAGAGAGAGGGTGCGAGGTCTGACGGTGGAGAGAGAGGGTGCGAGGTCTGAAAGCCTGGAGTTGTGTGGCTTCTGCCCTGGGTTAGGCCCAGAAGCTTCATCGTTTAACACCCGGACGCAGTTCCAGGCTGCAGGGTGCATGAGGCAGCCAAGCCCGGGAAGCCAGGACTCGCTTGCCCTGGGCAAATCCACTCCGAGGAAGCCCATCTCAGGCAGGGAAGTGAGTGGCCACCCCTGGGCCCCGGGACTGTCCTAGACACAGATCGTGAAGGGCTGTGTTTGCACCAAGGTGATGTAGAGGCTGGCTTGCTCGCTGTCGCATGGGTTTTCAAAAATACCACCTGTTTCGTTTTCTTTATTGGAACCTGGGAACAAAGACCGAGCCCATTGGAAGAGGCCCATGACTGCCTTATTGATCTGAGATTTACGAAAGCAGCAATTATGTGTTATTTGAGTGGGAGCGTGTCGTCTTTCCGTAGCCCTCGCCTCTTAGGAACGCCCCCTGCCCCCTGCCAGCCAGAGACACTGAAGCAGCAGGGGGATGGCTGAGGTGGAGAACTGACCCCAGGTGCCGCCAGCGTTGGTTGGTAGCGGGAAAACAGGCTGCCCGAGGCGCGATCTGGGGAGCAGGAAGCACCAGACCCTAAGGGGAAGGCAGAGGTTCGTGGGCCCAGCAGGGACAGCCCTTCACCCAACCTCTGGAGGGCGACTGGTCCACGCTGCTCCTGTCCCCAGATCCGTTGGCTCCGCGTCCTCGTGGTCTGTGAGTAGAGGACAGGACTCAGTTCCGTGGACACTCTCCTGGCTTCTCTCCCTGCCCCCACGGCACTGTTTCATCAGTGAGACACGTGCACATTTGTCCCTCAAACCCCCCCACAGGGCAGCCGAGCACCCCCCCAGCAGTGGCGGGGGGACATCGGAGCAAGTGTTGAGGGCATCCCGGGGTGCACAGTGGGGCCTGGGCCCCACCCTGTTCATCCGTGTCCTGTCACGCCAGGCCTGTGCCCCTCACGGGTGCTCAGCGGGTGATGGTAACGTGGATTAGTGAATCGCAGGGGAGGTGAGCGCTAGACGGGATGGGGGTGGAGATAGAGCCGCGCTGAGGGGCAGGCACATGAGTGCATCAGTCGGGTTGATTGGAAGCTGTAGGGGAGCAGGGGAGCAGGCTGTTGGCAGGTTGAGTGGGGAGACTGAGGGCAGGGTCCTCTGGCCGAGCGCCGTCCTGCAGAACCTCACGGTGAGGATGAAAATGTATTTCTCTGCTGTCCCTTGCGGTAGCCACCGGCCACGTGAGGCCACGGAGTACCTGAAATGGGGTCAGTGTGACCTCAGAGCTGTTTTTCATTTTATTCCATCACAATCAGTTTGCACTTAAATAGCCACCTGCAGCTGGTGGCTACCGTATTAGATCGTGTGGGACTAGAGGAAAACCACGCCGGGCTGCAGAACACGGTACGAGGGGCTGCACTAACCGCAGCTGGCATTTATCGAGTCGCTATTACGTGCTGGTTGCTTTTCCTGTGTCTCAGTTGATCCTCAAAACAACCCAAGGGTGTAAGTATTATCCCACTTTACAGCTGAGAACGTCTGAGGTTTAGAGAGGCTTTGGGTGACTTGCCCGGGAGCCCACCCAGGTCTGCCATCCCCAAACCTGTGCGCCGTGCCGTGCGGCCTCTGAAGGAGCCGAGAGTCACGTCTCAGGAACAGGATCTGGTGATAGCGCAGGATGGCGTGAGGTGCAGGCTCAGGGGGACCGAGGGCTCTAGACGACTCCAGGGCTGAGAGACACGACGATGCTCCCATTTCTAGGGCTCCCGAGTACAAAAGCAGAGAGAGGATCCCAGTCCTGGTCGGGCGCTGCTGTGGACTGAATGTTTATATCACCCCAAAATACCTACGTTGAAGCCGTCACGCAGATGTGATATTTGGAGATGGGGGCTTTGGGAGGGATCAGATGAGGTCCTGAGGGTGGGACCCTGGGGATGGGATTGGCGTCCTTATCAGAGGAGGAGGCCAGACCTCACTCTACTGTGGGAGGGTACAGCAAGAAGCTGCCGTCTGTACGCCAGGAAGAGCCCTCCCCAGAACCTGACCGTGTGGGCACCCCGACCGGGGCCGTCAGGCCTCTGCAGCTGTGATAAACATGCTTCTGTTGTTTCAGCCACTCAGTCTATGGTATTTTTGTTACAGCAGCCTAAGCTGACTACGATGGGGCAGAGGCTGTCCTCTCCCCCTTGGCTGTGTGCATAGGGGAAGGCGGCCCCCGGGGGAGAGGCCAGGCTGCGAGGGCACCTGTGGGGTGCAATGGAGAGGCTGCCGGGCCTCCTGCTGACAGCTGGAAACCTCTCCCCTCCCCACTGGGAGAGCATGGAGGGCAGGGCCAGACTGTCCAGCCTGGGCCGTTGCTCCTAGAGTCAGCATCAGGCCACACTCACGACCCCAGCAAAGCTTTGTCCCAGGGTCGGCCCCTGGCACCTTCTCTGCCCATTGTTTTGAGAGCCATCAGCCACGTCCCCAGGGACCCGCCTGAGCAGAAGCAGCTCTCTAGAGAGCCGTGCGCACCAGCCTGGCACCAGGGCAGGGGAGGGTGTGACCGACCCTCCTGAGGTCTGAACAAAAATTCTGCTTTACCGTGAACGAGCTGTGTGACCTCGGGCAGCCCGAGTCATCTCTGAGCCTTTGTTCCTTCATCTATATAGTGGGGATCATAACACCTGCCTCCTTCATACTCTGGCCCGGTCCGATAACTGCTCACTAACTGCGCTGTGGGTGTTTGATTCCCTCCTGTTCCCGCAGCATCGCCTCGTTCAGCAGCCTATGCAGGGCAGGGCACTCTGCATGTTTATAAGGTGAGCTGCCCTCAACCGATGCGTGTGTAGAGTGCAGAAGGGAGAGCTCACGTCTCTGAGGGCCACACTTGTTTCCACCTGTTACAGTGTACACAGGGATGGTGGGAATTCGCAAGGAAAACAGAGCTAAGTAGCATCAGTGCTTCCTCTCCCCTTTACCCAGAGAGGAGAGGCCCACGTTGTGGTTCTGGAGCCCACCTCATAGGCTGATGGGGGACCCTGTTGTAGAGGTGGGAACATTAGGAGCGAAGGGTGGAAGAGGTGGAGAGAGGCTGCTCTCTTGGGGAAGGGGAGAGTCACCAGTCTCTGTGAGGGATGGTGGCCTAGGGTTCCAGGGAGACAGGCTACTGGTCCTTGGAAGGGCTGAAGCCCAGCCTAGCAATGATCCCAAACCCAGGACTGGCACAGATATGACCACATGCTCCCACTCCCTCTCATGGGGTCATGAGAGCTTGGGAAGCAAGAAGGCCAGCAGTGAGGAGTGTGGACGGCGCTCAGGGGACCCTCTGCAGATCTGGGCCATCAAACACCCCAAGCCTAGGACCTTCATGAGAGCTGGAAAGGGGCCCCAAGTGTGGCTGAGGCTTGGGCAGATTTTCCTGCCAATCCAGAGGGACAGGAGCTTGGAGCAGATTGCATTTTCTTTGGATAAATAAAAGGTGACATTTCTCGTACCTGAGCATTGGATGGTAGCAAATCCGTCCCCCGCAGGAATGTATCATAGCTTCCGTCCCCCGTGAGTTTGCTCCCCCACCCCAGGGGCACTGAGCTCGGCCACCCGATCAGGCCAGTGACCTCCACACGCTCGACACGCTCGACGTGGAAGCCAAGTTGGTGACATTTTCCCTCTCCATGGAGAGACGTGCTCCTTGCTGAGTTGGCAGCCTGCAGAAAAGGCCAAGCAACAGATGCAACCTTCCCTCGGCGGGGGGCTGCAGAGAGCCCCCACCCACGCAGGGACCGGGTGGCTTCCGTGTGGCAGAAAGATGGATGAGCTGGGGCAACAGTCCTGAGGAGTCGCCAGCGATCGCTGAATCAGACTCTGCCTGGGTTAGCCTGGAGCCGGTCTCAGCCCCAACACATCCACCTCTGCCTCCCAGCTTGCTTCTTCTGGCCTTGTTGCTGTGCCTTCAGGGGAAGCAACGTAAGAACTGTCCTGCATCACATAATGACGTTTCGGCCAGCAAATGTCCCACACCATTATAATACCACATTCTTACTGTACCATTTCTATGATATATTTAGATACAGGAATACTTTCCGCTGTGTCACAGTTGCCTGCAGCCTTCGGTACAGTAACATGTCGTTCAGGTTTGTGGCCTAGCAGCCACAGAATACAGCAGCTAGCCTGGGTGTGCAGCCGGCTATACCATCTTGGTTTGCGTAAGTGTGCTCTATGTGCTGTTTGCACAATGATGCAATCACCTCACTGTGCCTTTTCTCAGGACATATTCTTGTTTTTAAGCAACAGTAATTGTATTTATAAGTTATGAGCTTAATCAACCTTGCTTAAAGCAAAGCCCCTTTCCAGTTCTCATGAAGCTCCCAGGCGTGGGGTCTTCGATGGCCCAGCACATCAGCAGACTGTAGGTTCTAGATTCTGGTTATTTCTGCGTCCAGAGAACATGATAAACTGTCTCTGGAGTCCGACCGGAATCCGTGGCTGCCATGTGAACCTGAGCATATCCTCAGACTCTGCCAAGCCCCGGGTTCCTCACCTATAACGTGGGCCCAAAGTTTACGTAACTGTCACGTTGTTACCAGCATTTCTCACGATTGTGTCTTCTGACCTGTCGGACACGCAGGCCAGTTTCGGGTTATACGCAAACGTATGTTTCTTTGTTGAATCGCATTATTTCCAGGCAGCACCGCCGTCGGCTGTGTGAAGGCCAGATCACGTGCTGTCGTGTTTGCCTGGACCCTCCCCTGGCATTGGGCGTCTGTGTTGTTTCCAGTTCTTTGCTATCAAACGTGACGCAGCTGTGAATGTCAGCAAGCTTTGCTGTGGTTCCAACAGAACCTAACTCTGGGGTGGGGGTTCCGTGGATGGGGCCATCCATTACGTCCAAAGCCAACTAAGGATTTTTAGATGAGCTGTGCCTCTGGGGTGATTGATTCCTTCTATCCTGAAGCAAGAGACGCTCCTTGGAAGATGCTAAGTGTCCCTTCGTTACAGTTGTCTGAGCCCCTCGGCGGAGGAGGAAGCGGCTGCAATCTTTACAACCCCATGTCCTCTCTCTTGTAGAAAGTCTGCACCAAATGTGGGATCGAGGCCTCCCCTGGCCAGAAGCGGCCCCTGTGGCTGTGTAAGATCTGCAGTGAGCAAAGAGAGGTAGGGCGTCCAGGGTGACGGTGGGGAGGGCTGAGTGGGCTGGATATGCCCTCAGATGGGGATGGGTGGACGGTCAGGGTGACGGTGGGGAGGGCTGGGCGGGCTGGATACGCTCTCAGATGGGGATGGGTGGACAGTCACTGGGAGGGGTTTCTCCAGAAGTCAAGGAAGAACTGACCACTCGGCGGAGAAAAGCACGGAGGGACAGCCTGTGGCCACTTCCCCTATGCAGGGGTGGCAGGTTCTACACGTGGGAGAGTCCGAGGTTTCGGTGGGAAGCCCCTCGCACTGTGAGTGTGAGAGCATGTGGTGTTTGTGGGGGCTGTTATTATGGTAACAGTAGTAGCTACCCAGGGTGAACGCTGACTGTGTGCCTGGCACTGCCATAAGTTCCTTGCATGTATGAATTCATTTCATCCCTGCACAACCCCAGTGGTGCTATTCTTATCCCCTTTTCCTGATGGGGAAATAAAGACACAAGAGGTTAAATAACCTGCAAGCACAGAGCCAGTTAGTGGGGGAGCTGGAAACCAAACTCAGCCGTTGTCTGCTGTCACGATGCCACCCAACGCCCCTTCTGCTGCTACAGTTCTATGGTTCTAGTTCCAACCCCATTTGAGGGAAGGAAGTCGAGGCTCAGCAAGGACTCTGGGGAGTAGCAGATGGGCAGGGACAGTCAGAACCTCCCTGTGCCAGGTCGGATTGGAGCCAAAACAGCAGGACGTGGCAGGTAGCTTCTGGGAAGTGCCCTGGGGAGGCAGGGCTGGGACAGAATGTGAGGGGCGAGGAGGCGTGCAGCTGGTCTTCCAGATCAGGATTTATTACTTTTTAAATCTTGCTTGTCACATCCGAGGATCCACAAAACACCTTCAATTCTGGAAAATTCTCAGCCATGATGTCTTTGAATATTGCTCCTCTGCCATTCCTTCTCTCCTCTCTGGAAATCCCGCTGGATACATTTCAGAGCTCCTCAACCATCCCCCACAGCTCCCAACTGCTCTTTCTTGTTTATTTCTTTATCTTTCTGTGGTCCTTTCTGGGTGAATTCTTCAGTACTGCCTTCCAAGTCACTAAGTCTTTCCTTGAGATCAATTCCCCATTGGTTTCGTGGGTTGTCTTTCTTAGGGTTAGTTTTCCTTGGAAGTTTTGGAATTTTGGTTTGTGCGCTCATCCTGTGTGATAATAGTCCGTTTCTCTCTGTTTCCCACCCGGCTCTTCTAGCTGAATAGTTTTGCAGCTGCCTCCCGCTGGGTCTGGGGTTGCCCAGTGCTGAGCCAGGCATCCTGGGTTTGTGGCGAGCTGCTCATCCATGGTGATACTGGGATTATTCCCAGACCCTCATCCCAGCCGTGACAGCTTGGCCAGGCCCTGCTGCTGCTGGGCTTGCTTTCCTCTGAGCTCATTTCCTTATGTATGTTATAGTCCCGGGGCAGGTCCCTGCTGTTTTCAGCCTCCTTTCCCAGGTGGAAAATCCCCTCAACAGCCTGATTTTAGTGACTCTGCTCTGGTCCCCCACCTCCCAAGGGTCACTTTTAGTCCCTGAACCCTGGAAGACCAATCTCCCAGCTGCCTCTGTCTGCTTCGGAGCCCAGAGCTCAGCAAGCGGCTGTGCCTTCACCCCTCAAAATGGCAAATACTTTGAATTTATGATCCATGGAGATATAGATCTTGTTTTTGCGCACATTTCCTTGCTGCTGTTGTTGTGAAAGTATTTTCCTCTATCACTTCCGTGTCTTTGGAACAGGAAAAGCTGCAGGCAGGGCCTCACAGTGTGTGCTAGCATTCTGTCTTGCTGGAAGTCCCTGACTCCTCATCCCCAGATGGAGTTAATAATGTCTGCTCCACAGTTGCTGCGAGAATTCAGTAAGACTGTTGAAGTGGGCAAAACCTCCAGCATAGATATTCCATAACTATCAGAGGCCTCCCTTCCTCTTCAGCCAGAAATCTCCCCTTTGAACCTGAGGTCCTTCTAATCTTCAGGGGACCCCTTTGACAATGCACATGTCCATGGAAGAGGAAATTCCTTAAAACATCGTCTGTGGGGAGACACTTTGTGGGATGAAAAGATGGTCACAGCTGAGCTGTGGGAGGGCAGAAGTGAGGGATCTTTGAAGGAAAAGAAAGTGAATGGAAGGAAAGACAAATTTAGCAAGTTTAATAATTTAGTTGAGGGTTTCCCCATCCCCCTCATGAGTCACCCTCACACTCCGTAACAGTCTTGAGCTACCACCAGCCTGTCTTAATCTCCAGAGGGCTCCAGTGCCCAGAAAAGTCCGAAATAGCTTAGGATGAATTTTCTTATCTTTCCTAAGGCAGAGAATATGAGGCTGTGCATTACGCTATTACTTTGCCCTTGAATTTTTAGAGGCTGATAAAACTTAGCCTCTAAAAGATCAAGGATATTCCCTCTCTGCAGCACCAGGCATATGGTGCACGGTTAGCAGGAATGGATGGGGCTGGGAACATGTTCATGGTATATGAGCCTGGGTACCTGTGGGTACCAGAACCATGTGCTGGATTTTTCTGCCTGCTTGTGGGGTGTGGGAAGGCTGGCGTAATTGGTTTCCTAATGCCCTTTCTTCTTAGAAAAATGTCTAATCATAATGAAGAGATAACTAACTAGAAAGGCCGTTTAAAATGTCAGATTTTAAGCTGGTTCTGAGTCTGTGATGAAAATTTGGAGTTATGTCTCCCCGCAAAAGCCAAATCCTAATGGAAGAACTTGGGTTTTCTGATGAAAACTCTTGGAGCATTCTGCCCAAGGCCTCTTATCTTCCTTTCCTTTCGTGCTTCACTTCCATCATCTCTGGCTGTAATTGTAAGTATTTTTTCTGGAGCGAGTTGAGTGCTGGTGAGATGTTCCTGGGGCTGTCAGGGTGGTGTTGCTGCCTGTGTTATGCCCTTTCACCAGGCGGCAGTGTGAGCCTCAGCCCATCTGCTTTGGGAGCCTGCAGTCAAATGCGTTTATTCATGTAGGCAGCTGACACATTTATTGAGCACCTCCTATGTGCCAGGCAAAATAGCTCTTCCAATGGGAGAGGGAGACCACAAACCCAGTAAATTCTGCAGTGTCACAGACGGTGATCAAGTCCTTAGGGCAAAGGGAGAAGGGGTGCTGGGGACACTGGGGCAGTTGCTGGTTTATATGGGGATAAGAGAGGGGCCCACCGACAAAATGACTTTTGAATGGAGATCTGAAGCATCTTCTGTGGCTATGTGGAGGGAAAGCATTCCAAGTAGGGGTGCAAAGCAGCAGGTGCAAAGGCCCCGAGGCAGATGTGTGTGCTTGGTAGATCTGAGGCACAGCGAGGAGACCAGTGTGACTTGAGTTAAGTTGGGGCTGGGGAGAGGTTGTCAGATGTATTAGTCTGTTCTCATGCTGCTAATAAACACATACCTGAGACTGGGTACTAAAGGGAAGAGGCTTGATGGACTCACGGTTCCACATGGCTGGGGAGGCCTCACAATCACGGCGGAAGGCGAAAGGCACGTCTTACATGGCGGCAGGCAAAGAAAGAATGAGACCAAGTGAAAGGAGTTTCTTCTTATAAAACCATCAGATCTCGTGAGACTCATTCACTATCACGAGAACAGTATGGAGGGAACCGCCCCCATGATTCAATTACCTCCCACTGGGTCCCTCCCACAACACTTGGGAATTATGGGAGCTGCAGTTCAAGATGAGATTTGGGTGGGGACACAGCCAAACTGTATCATCAGAGTTACGATAGAGTGGGTCAGACCATGTTGGTGCTTAGAGACCTTTGTAAGGACTTAGGGTTTCGGGGTTTTTTTTATTTGTTTTGTTTTTTTGAGACAGGATCTCACTGTGTCACCCAGGCTGTAGGGCAGTGCCACGATCTCAGCTCACTGCAACCTCTGCCTTCAGGGCTCAAACAACCCTCCCCCCTCAGCCTCCCGAATAGCTGGGACTACAGGCTGTACCACCACGCCCAGCTAATTTTTTGCATTTTTGTAGAGACGGGGTTTTGCCATGTTGCCCAGGCTGGTCTCAAACTCCTGAGCTCAAGCAAATCCACCTGCCCCAGTCTCCCAACGTGCTGAGATTACAGGCGTGAGCCACTACACCTGGCCAAGACTTTGGTTTTATATTCAGTAAAATGAGGCGCCCTTGGAGGGTCTTGAGTAAAGCGGAGACAGAATCCGATCTCCCCCTCTTTTAAAGGGTACTCTGTCTGCTGTGCTGAGGATAAACTGTAGACTATCTCAAAGCCAGTAGCATAGTATTTTATTTTTCTTATTTAATATTGCCCAGATATTTAAGTTCTTATCTGTTGTTACCTTTGGAAGTTTTCATTTTTTAACATCTACTCTCTACATTTTACTCTTTTCTGATTATAAA
This sequence comes from Homo sapiens, assembly GCF_000001405.40. Classification (NCBI taxonomy): domain Eukaryota; kingdom Metazoa; phylum Chordata; class Mammalia; order Primates; family Hominidae; genus Homo; species Homo sapiens. The sequence goes on from NT_187662.1 coordinate 127,289, forward strand.
ATTAATATGGATCATTGAGGAACATTTACAATTATAGACAAGCATAAATAAATAAACACCTTCCAAAAATCCAGAATCAGAGACAACCACTGTTAATATTTAGTATATTCCAACCATTTTTCTGTGTCTTTTTTCTTTATATTATTGAACCTGTGTTTTAAAATGAATATCTTAAGTCTTTTCCGGTGTAATCAAGAACTCTTTGTAAACATTCTGTCATATAGATATTCTCCTAATTGAGGACATTTAAATTGTTTTCATTTCTTTCTCTTATTACTGTGTGCATAGCTCTCTGTCTACATTTTAGATTCTATCCTTAGAATGGATTTCTAGGAGGAAAATCAATGATTATTTTCTTGTAGACTCTTGAGTTATTTTATTTTTCTAATAATTAGCTGGTCTGTAATTTTATGTAATTAAAAAAATAAGGGTGCATGGATGATACATTTTCTGAGTCCTTGGCTCTCTGAGAATTTTTGCCTTTATACAAAAAAGACCACTTTACAGATAATGCAATTAATCCTGATCTTTCCCACTCAAAATTCTGTGGATTCTACCCCTGTTGTCCACCAGCCACATTAAGAAAAGAGGGAGAAATGGAAAATATAACAGCTTGGAGAATTGGTACCCAGAAAATGAGAGCGAATAGTGAAATGGTGAAAGAGATGATAATGTGTTTTTTAAAAATTAATTAATTAAAAGATATAAGAGAGGCCAGGTACAGTGGCTCACACCTGTAATCCCGACATTTTGGGAAGCTGAGGCAGGAGGATTGCTTGAGCCTAGGAGTTTGAGACCAGCCTGGGAGATATGGCAAGACTTTTTCTCTGCAAAAAAATACAAAAATTAGCTGGGCATCGTGGTGAGCGCCTGCAGTCCCAGCTTCCTGGGAGGTTGAGGCGGGAGGATCACTTCTGCCCGGGGGGTGGAGGTGGCAGTGGGCTGAGATCGTGCCACTGCACTCCAGCCTTAGTGAGAAAGGCTCACTGAGGTCTTTAGAGCAAGGCCCTGTCTCTAAAATAAAACAAAAGATCTAAGAGAAGGAATAGAAACCAGGTTGAACAAACCAGACCTTTGAGAAAAGTACAAGCAAATTTGGAAAAGAACCCCAGGAACCATTTTCATCCCTAAAAATGAGAGATCTCACGAATGAATTTTAAAACTCGGTTGAACTATATTTTAGTCATTTCTTAGCACGGTGAACCTTGTCATTCCTATTAACAGCCACAGATGTTTCCTTATCATTTGCTTCTCATTGGTTATTTTAAATGTTTGATTCCTGATTGGTGCTCCCAACTGTCTCGTCCCCGATTTCCTCTGTACCAACTGTCCTGGAGACGAGGTTCTTGAGACCACACAGAACCGTGACATCCTCCTAATGAGCTGCTTGCCTTTGTAAACTGGCTGCTTAGCTCAGAGCTCCATTTCCCAGCTCTGGACTTTCCATTCCATTCCCGCTGTGGACTGGCACACTCTAGTCCCTCGCCTGGTTTTCTTGCTGGTGGATTAATAAACTGTGATGTGTGTTCAAGATTTAAATAAACAAAAAAGGGAATAAGCCTGGGCATGGTGGCTCACACCTGTAATCCCAGCACTTTGGGAGGCCAAGGTGGGCAGATTGCTTGAGCCCAGGAGCTTGAGACCAGCCTGGGCAACATGGTGAAACACCCTCTCTACAAAAAATCCCCACATTAGCCAGGTATAGTGGCACACGCCTGTAGCCTCAGCTATCAGGAGGCTGAGGTGGGAGGACTGCTTAAGCCCCAGAGGTCGAGGCTGCGGTGAACCGTAATTGCACCAATGTACTCCAGCCTGGGAGCTTATGGTTCCAAACTGTACTCAGAAACACTTGTGTGCAGTTTGAAGAATCATAATAAAAGAGGTACCCACTAATTACCACTGGAGTCGTTACCCCACTGCAGACGTCCCCATGCTTAGTTCTGCTTGTGTTTGAATGTGACATAAACAAGGTGGATCTGTGTGTATTTTTCTGTGCATTTCTTCTTTATTCGACATTGTGATCTTGAAATTCACCCATGTTGATGTGTGTAGCTGTATTCATTCCCATCACTGTGGTCTATATCCCATTGTAAAAAATACGTACCTATTTATCCATTCTACCATTGGTGATCATTTTGGTTACTCTCCTTTTTTTGTTTTTTGTTTTTTTTGCTGTTATGAATAATTGTGCTGTAAACATTCATGTCTCCTGGAGTACATGTTCATGTACAAGAGTTTCTGCAGATTTTAGGCCTGAGGGTTTCTCTTGGATTATGGGGTGTGTCCACATTCAACTCTATTGGGTAATTCCTGATCATTTTCCAGAGTGCCTGTATTAATACCAGCTCATGCTCCTATGAGCCTAGAACAGCATTCCAGCTACTCTGTTTTCTCCGTGACCACGTCTGCTCTTTCCCCTCCGGTGTAAGTTTCGATTCTGTTCTCCACTCTGGTTTCCCGGCAGTCCTCCATTATTTCCTTTATTTTGCTCCTTTTCTTCTTTTGGTTTTCTATTTTATTAGTAAGGCCCGTCTTTATGTTTCCTAGACACCAAACAATTGTCTAATTATGTTCCTGAGCCCTAGCATGCCACATTCACCTGCACTAAACACTTTGGAGGTTTTCCCCTCCCCGCTTCTGCAGCAGCCTAAGCCCCGCAGACCCAGGATTGACTCCAAGGCGTCTCCTCATAGCCCCTCCCTTGGTCTGGGATTGTGCCTGTGACCCTGCCCCATGCAGGAGGCACCTTTGACTCTCCTGCGACCTGGCCCGTCGGAACCAGGGAGGACGAGGGACCGCAGCCCCTGGCTTATGCTGTCTCCTCCGCTCTTCCTGCTCTCCCTGCTCTCCCAGATGCAGCCTTGCTTCAGGAAATACTCCTTCCCCAATGCAACTCACATTGCCGGACTGGCTAGATTCTGGAAGCTGTATCTCCCAGGGATGACAGGAGGGTTGGCGGAGGGAGGACAGCCCCTGTGGCCCCAGGAACTGGCAGCCCTGAAGTGCCAGGAAGGCTGCCCAGGCGGCTTCAGCTGCTGCCCCTACTCCAGCCAGGCAGGCGAGGCCCAGGTGGGCAGGCGAGGCCCAGGTGGTCCATGGCACGCCTCCCGTCTCCCGCCTCATCCCCTCACCTGATGTGGAGCCTGGTGCTGAGCTGTCAGAGGCCCCGGGCTGGGGTTTCGCGGTGCCTTTTCCACGTGCTTTCATGGGTGCGTTAGTTGGGGCTGGGAGGAACGGCCCTGGCGGCTTCTAAGCACAGGATGTTGCAAACCAGAAATTCATTTCATTTACTGTTTAGCCTCGAATCCCTATCCACTAAACGAAAACGAAGAATGACTCACTCAAAGTGATGCTGTAATCAGTAGAAAAGTTCACTGGAATCTAGATTCCCCAGGATTCTGCAAACCATTCCTGCAGCGTCTCAAACGTACCTGGGCCATAAGAAAGCTTCTTGGAGGACACAGATGTTATCTGAGGGGGGGTGGCCTAGAAAGGGGTGAAGAAGACCAATTTTTAAGGAGCTGAAAGCTGGTTAAGACAATTAGCGTGTTCTTCTCTGTTCAGCATTGGCTTTGCCTCCTCAATTTCCCGCCACATCCTGATTATAACCCGGCAGCCACGGGCCACAGCCAGCACTCAGTGTCTCCTGCAGTGTGTTGTATATAAAGGTGCTCGGGAAAAGTTTGTGGATTGAAAGAGAAATTTGCAAAGAAATTTCGTGTTCCGATCTCTTCAGAATCTTTTCCCTGTGGGGCACTTTGGATATCCCCGACGTCGCCCTCGCTGGGGTCTCTTCCTGACGTCGCCCTCGCCGGGGTCTCACCCTGACGTCACCCTCGCTGGGGTCTCTCCCTGACGTCACCCTCGCTGGGGTCTCTCCCTGACGTCACCCTCGCTGGGGTCTCTCCCCGACGTCGCCCTCGCTGGGGTCTCTCCCTGACGTCGCCCTCGCTGGGGTCTCTTCCTGACGTCGCCCTCGCCGGGGTCTCACCCTGACGTCACCCTCGCTGGGGTCTCTCCCTGACGTCACCCTCGCTGGGGTCTCTCCCTGACGTCACCCTCGCTGGGGTCTCTCCCTGACATCACCCTCGCTGGGGTCTCTCCCTGACGTCACCCTCGCTGGGGTCTCTCCCTGACGTCACCCTCGCTGGGGTCTCTCCCTGACGTCGCCCTCGCTGGGGTCTCACCCTGACGTCACCCTCGCTGGGGTCTCTCCCTGACGTCACCCGCGCTGGGGTCTCACCCTGACATCACCCTCGCTGGGGTCTCTCCCTGACGTCACCCTCGCTGGGGTCTCTCCCTGACGTCACCCTCGCTGGGGTCTCTCCCTGACGTCGCCCTCGCTGGGGTCTCTCCCTGACGTCGCCCTCGCTGGGGTCTCTTCCTGATGTCGCCCTCGCTGGGGTCTCACCCTGACGTAGCCCTTGCTGGGGTCTCACCCTGACGTAGCCCTTGCTGGGGTCTCTCCCTGATGTCGCCCTTGCTGGGATCTCACGTCGCCACTGGCCCACTGAGGCTGGGTCTTTATTTCTTCCTTCTGGCCCCTCTCTCCTGCTTGTTGATTGACTAAAAAAAGAAAAGTGGCTTCACAGGGTTGGTCTTACATGGTTTTTTGGTGTGTGTGTGTGTGTGTGTGTGTGTGACTTAAATAATACTTTAAGTTCTAGGGTACATGTGCTCAATGTGCAGGTTCGTTACATCTGTATACCTGTGCCATGTTGGTGTGCTGCACCCATTAACTCGTCATTTTAGCATTAGGTATATCTCCTAATGCTATCCCTCCCCCCTCCCCCCACCCCACAACAGTCCCTGGAGTGTGATGTTCCCTTTCCTGTGTCCATGTGTTCTCATTGTTCAATTCCCACCTATGAGTGAGAACATGCGGTGTTTGGTTTTCTGTCCTTGCGATAGTTTGCTGAGAATGATGGTTTCCAGCTTCATCCATGTCCCTACAAAGGACATGAACTCATCCTTTTTTATGGCTGCATAGTACTCCATGGTGTATATGTGCCACATTTTCTTAATCCAGTCTATCACTGATGGACATTTGGGTTGGTTCCAAGTCTTTGCTATTGTGAATAGTGCTGCAATAAACATACGTGTGCATGTGTCTTTATAGCAGCATGATTTATAGTCCTTTGGGTATATACCCAGTAATGGGATGGCTGGGTCAAATGGTATTTCTAGTTCTAGATCCCTGAGGAATCACCACACTGTCCTCCACAATGGTTGAACTAGTTTACATTCCCCCAACAGTGTAAAATTGTTCCTATTTCTCCACATCCTCTCCAGCACCTGTTGTTTTCTGACTTTTTAATCATCGCCATTCTAACTGGTGTGAGATGGTATCTCATTGTGGTTTTGACTTGCATTTCTCTGATGGCCAGTGATGGTGAGCATTTTTTCATGTGTTTTTTGGCTGCATAAATGTCTTCTTTTGAGAAGTGTCTGTTCTTATCCTTTGCCCACTTTTTGATGGGGTTGTTTGATTTTTTCTTGTAAATTTGTTTTAAGTTCTTTGTAGATTCTGGATACTGGAAACATTCCCTTTGAAAACTGGCACAAGACAGGGATGCCCTCTCTCGCCACTCCTATTCAACATACTGTTGGAAGCTCTGGCCAGGGCAATCAGGCAGGAGAAAGAAATAAAGGGTATTCAATTAGGAAAAGAGGAAGTCAAATTGTCCCTATTTGCAGATGACATGATTGTATATCTAGAAAACCCTGTTGTCTCAGCCCAAAATCTCCTTAAGCTGATAAGCAACTTCAGCAAAGTCTCAGGGTACAAAATCAATGTGCAATAATCACAAGCATTCCTATACATCAATAACAGAGTACCAAATCATGAGTGAACTCCCATTCACAATTGCTTCAAAGAGAATAAAATACCTAGGAATCCAACTTACAAAGGATGTGAAGGACCTCTTCAAGGAGAACTACAAACCACTGCTCAACAAAATAAGAGAGGGCACAAACAAATGGAAGAACATTCCATGCTCATGGATAGGAAGAATCAATATTGTGAAAATGGCCATACTGCCCAAGGTAATTTGTAGATTCATTGCCATCCCCATCAGGCTACCAATGACTTTCTTCACAGAATTGGAAAAAACTACTTTAAAGTTCATATGGAACCAAAAAAGAGCCCGCATTGCCAAGTCAATTCTAAGCCAAAAGAACAAAGCTGGAGGCATCACGCTACCTGATTTCAGACTATACTACAAGGCTATAGTAACCAAAACAGCATGGTACTGGTACCAAAACAGAGATATAGACCAATGGAACACAACAGAGGCCTCAGAAATAATACCACACATCTACAACCATCTGATCTTTGACAAACCTGACAAAAACAAGAAATGGGGAAAGGATTCCCTATTTAATAAATGGTGCTGGGAAAACTGGCTAGCCATACGTGGAAAGCTGAAACTGGATCCCTTCCTTACACCTTATACAAAAATTAATTCAAGATGGATTAAAGACTTAAATGTTAGACCTAAAACCATAAAAACCCTAGAAGAAAACCTAGGCTTTACCATTCAGGACATAGGCATGGGCAAGGACTTCATGTCTAAAACACCAAAAGCAATGGCAACAAAAGCCAAAATAGACAAATGGGATCTAATTAAACTAAAGAGCTTCCACACAGCAAAGGAAACTATGATCAAAGTGAACAGGCAACCTACAGAATGGGAGAAATTTTTTTTTTTTTTCTTTTGTGGAGTTGGCATCTCACGATGTTGCCAAGGCTGGCCTCAAACTCCTGAGCTCAACCAATCCTCCTGCCTCTGCTGCCCTAAGTGCTGGGATTACAGGCATGAGCCGCCATGCCTGGCAGGGTTGGTTTTTAAATCCTCTCCAACTCACTTATCCTGGAGGTGACCAGCAGCCCACTGGGGTCTTCCAGCTGGGAGACTCTTCCTCAGTCTGGGCCTCACAGGCCTACGGAAGGTCAGGATCATCGGGGGCTCCCAAACTCCGCAGCCAGCCCAGCCGCTGGTGGGAACTGGCCGTGCTAGCCGAGCCCCAGCCCAGCATCCTTGCGGCACCTGCTTCCCGGGCAGGCGGCCTGTGCTCACCGCAAGCTGCCATCTGTTTCTCCATGCTGTTTCTCTCCTGGTTCTGCTGTTACTTGCAGTTTGGATTTTTGCTGCAAACAGCTTTGCCAGAGGGCCCCCTCTGGAGGTCTGTGAGTGCATTCGGGAGTGGGTGGCTGGTGCTGGGGCGGGCGGCTGCCTGAGCACCCCACCGTCTGTGCCTGCCTCACTCTGGGCTGCTGTCACGGCATCCCTGGGGGACCCGGATGGTCATACTTCCTCAGTGTGTTGGTCGCCTCCCACGCCTCTGTGGCTCTGCCAGAGAGACCCGCTATCAGTGCAGCCTCCTGGCCTCCCACACATGGGTGGTGGCAGGAGGAGGGGGCTCCTGGTGCTCACCAGCCCCCAGGGCAGTCTGCCTCATGGGGACTCCTGCACTGCACCCCTGCAGATGGACTGAGCCATCCCATCTTCCCCTGCCCCTTGCCTGGGGCGTCTACCTGAGCCCACGTCTGTGCACTGGAGAAGTTTGCCTCTGAGGCACTGAGAGATCCAAGAGGCTGCTGACTCTTTCAGCACAGTGCTCCAGTCCGTGAGTTCATCGTTCACACACAGGCACACCGAAGGACTCCCATCGTTCATAGCAGATGTGAGCTGAGTGCCCACTAAGGGCCAGGCCATGATCATCTCGCTTCATCCCCACGGGAGCCCATTGTCCTCTGTGACAGGTGGAGAAACTGAAGCTTAGAGAGAAGAGGTCACTTGCCCAAAGACGTTGGGTAGTAATTGATGGTGCCAGGGATGAAGCCGGATGCGTCTTCCTCCAGAACACCTTCTAACAGCTCTATTCTTGAATCACTTATTCCTCTAATGTTCACTGAGGATTTGCTATGTGCCGGGCACTGTTCGAGGCCCTTGGAAAACAGCAACGGTGAAATAGCTTTGCCTGGAGCTTGCGTTCCAGCAAGGGGGCCAGGGCTGAGGGTGGGGAACAGACGATGAAACATAAACAAATAAGCAAATCGTATCATACACTAGATGCTGAACAGGAAAAAGAATAAGTAGGTCAGGCACGGTGGCTCACACCCAGCACTCTGGGAGGCTGAGGCAAGAGGACTGCTTGAGGCCACAGAAGTTCAAGACCAGCCTGGGCAACATGGCGATCCCTCGTCTCTAAAAAATAAAAAATCGGCCAGGCACGGTGGCTCACGCCTGTGATCCCAGCACTTTAGGAAGCCAAGGCGGGCGGATTATGAGGTCAGGAGATCGAGACCATCCTGGCTAACACGGTGAAACCCCGTCTCTACTAAAAATACAAAAAATTAGCCAGGCGTGGTGGCGGGCGCCTGTAGTCCCAGCTACTCGGGAGGCTGAGGCAGGAGAATGGCGTGAACCCGGGAGGCAGAGCTTGCGGTGAGCCGAGATCGCGGCACTGCACTCCAGCCTGGGTGACGGAGCGAGACTCCGTCTCAAAAAAATAATAATAAATAAAAAATAAAAAATCATCCAGGCCTGGTAGCATGAACCTATAGTCCCAGCTACTCAGGAGGCTGAGGCGGGAGGATTGCTTGAGCCCCAGAGTTTGAGACCAGTCTGGGTAACATGGCGAAACCTGTCACTACAAAAAGTTTTTAAAAATTAGCCTGGTGTAGTGGGGGCATGTCTAGTGGCCCCAGCTACTTGGGAGGCTGAGGTCGGAGGATTGCTTGAACCTGGGAGGCGGAGGCTGCAGTGAGCCGAGATGGTGCCACAGTACTTCAGCCTGGGCAACAGCGTGAGATCCTGCCTCAAAAAAAAAAAAAAAAAAAAAAAAACCCAAAAACATACTTAAAATCTTAATATAACTATTAACTCTCCAAAACTTAACTAATAGTCTACTGTTGACTGGAAGACTTACCAATAAAAAACATTCAGTTAACACATATTTTGTATATTATATGCATTATATACTATATTCTTACAATAAAATAAGCTAGAGAAAAGAAAATGTTATTAAGAAAATCATGAGGAAGAGAGAATATATTTACTCTTCATGAAGGGGAAGTGGGTCATCGTGAAGGTCTTCATCCTCATCGTCTTCGTGTTGGGTAGGCTGAGGAGGAAGGGGAGTTGGTTTTATTGTCACAGGGGTGACGGGGAGATGAGGAGGAGGAAGAGGAGGGGTTGCTTTCGTTGTCACAAGGGTGATGGAGGGAGAGGAAAATCCAGCTAGGAGTGGGCCTGTGCAGTTCCAGCCCATGTGGTTCATGGGTCAACTGTATTTATTTAGAAATGCATACATACATACAAGGTTTTTTTAAACTAGAAAAGCAAGAGATTGCTTAATACAAAATTCCAGATGGTGGTTACCTCTGAGAGGGAGGGTGGGTTTACGGGAGCTTCTCACATCCAGCACCATTTTATTTCTTGATGAGCTCACAGGTATTTACTGGAATATGATTCTTTGAAATGTCTGTATGAAATACACTTTTGTAGATTTGCTAGCTTTCACGGGCATACACCCAAAAGATGAGAGGAGGTCGCTAAAATCAGGCAAAAAATAAGAAGCTTGAATCAGTGATTTGGAGAGACCTGTAGGATCTCCCAGAATGCAGGGAAAAACCAAAGAGCTAAACGTGGTCAGGGAGACAGTGATGACTGTGGAAGACAGAGGAAGCAATGGGACTTCAGAACTAGAGGCTTTCCCCAGCAGGGAACAAGACCCGTCGGAAATGAGCCACTAATCAAATACGTAATCAAAAAAAGTGTCCCCAGATGCAGGCCGCCCGCTCTGCACCACCCTCGAGCCCTGCCGATTGGGGTCAGCCCAGACAGGGTTTCACTTTGGCTTGGGAGAACATATTTCTGAGACTGTGTTTAAACACAGGCACATTTGTTGTCCTGGGAATTGAATCAAAATCATGACGCTCGTCTGAAAAGACCTGGCTCGGTCTAATTGGCCTGTCCAATTTTCCGCCTCCAGCCCCTATTCATTTCCTGCATGCAGCCCACTCCGTCTGGGAACAGAGGCGGCTTCGCAGCCAATCACCATTGTAACAGGCCTGCCCTCTCTCAAACCGGTGTCAGAGCAGCCTCAGTACTGGGGCTCCAAAGGATTTCATGCCGCGTGCCAGTTGAAAGTGAGGGGAGTCTGTCAAATGTTGACAACACAAGTCATTAAGAGCAGCAGATGAAAGTGTCATTAGCCTCCATGCATTTGCTGAGCTTACAAGAGCATCTGGACAAAGGGAGAGGATGGCGCGCAGGACCAGAGGGAAGACAGGGGCCCCTGTTCTCAGCAGCTTGTAGGGACCTTTCCTCATCACAGGTGACGTGAGAGATGATGCAAAGGCCATGGGGTGCCCACGGGGCACAGACCCCGAGGCTGGGCTACAAGGCAGGGTGAGGCCAGAGATG